>NC_000013.11:73862651-74014166 GCF_000001405.40 Homo sapiens
ATTTCAACAACATATCTTAGCAGAATTATTTTTTCCTTTATTGGTTTTCCTTATAAAATCTCTAAGAAAACAACAACTGTACGTTATTCAATTATTTATTACTGAATAAATAAGAAAAAGAAAAGAGTCAGGCACATTAATCACTTCTTTGATCCAAACAGAATTCTGGTTCCCATGAGATAAAGTTACTCTGTGTTTTTGGTTTTAAATAATTCCTGTGATAAAATCCCAAATTAATTATTAAGTAAATTAGCAAACTCACATTATATGATTCATTTTCTTCTTAGCATCAGAACTTTCAGTCACAGTTAAGATAGCCAACATTCAATTATCTACTCATAGACAGGATCACAGTACAAGTAATCCCAAGTGACAGATAATCCAAAAAGGCATTTATGTTGGGTTTAAAATTCATTATATGATTCCAGCAGATTTACCACCATAATTATATTTATTAGACTCATATTAAAATTCATTTGTATTTCTTAAACACATGCCAACTGAGGGAGGATCTCAGAAACATGCTGGATCAAGAAAGGAAGCTGATTTGCTATTAGCAATTTTCCTGTGAATAACTGACAAGAAGTCATGGGGATAGTAAAACTAAATTTCATATTTATTAAGAGTCTTATGTGATAAATTAGAGATTATATTATAGCAGTATTGTAGAGGTGTTACGGCATGGGCTGTGGATTCCAACAGACAGGTTTGTGTACTGGTTCTGCTCTTGTTCCGTGACCATAAGCAAATTTCTTATCCTTCTAAACTTCAGTTATTTACTTACAACAGTGCTAATATTAGCACTCCCTACATATTAAGGGAGTTCTAAAAATCCAATTATTAAATGCACACTGCTTGACACAAAATAGTTAAAATTAGTTGTGGTTGTTATTTTTTGTTTCAGTTATTATTTTATCTATTTTACTGTAGTGCTAAAACTAGAATATCCGATAGTTTGTATTATTCCTGCCTCCCATAAAATGATGCCATCTTTGATTATTCAATAAATTACATAGTATACTGTAGGGTCAAATATTAGAATATGTTCATCTGGTGCAGACAGGCAAATACTAGAGATGCACAGTTTTCTAGTTTTAAACTTCTGGGGCCATACATATTCAGGAATTCAAACTTTTGGTAGGTTTTTTAGAAGGTAATAGCACCCCGCCAGGAGGGCTTGGGGTGGAACTGGATACTCCAACACATTAATATCTCTGCAGTAAAACACATGAACATTTACACTGAGTGTTATAAAGACTATAAATACTTGTATGTCAGTTTAGTACAGTTTTTAATTCTAAATAAGTATTTTTTCAGAATTTTTAAGGATTTTAGATTATAGATAAGAAGTTGTGGAAATGGATTAAATAGAATGATACAACTAACCTTGATTCTACAGTTTTCCATTAATAATATACTACATGTCATAACATTATAGGGTAAGATAACTGGGGAGTTAAAAATTCCTCTTGGTTTACATAAAATATCCCTGAATAATTTGTAGTAAATGGAATTCTAAATAGCAATTCAAGTTTAAGTAATTACTCCCTAATTTTTAAAAGGGTATGGCAGATATCCTGATTTGTATAAAGTGACATACAGATAGCATTACCCATTTTATACTTGGTTTCAATTAGGAATTAATTTCTCTCATAGTTGTACTTTACCAGTGAGTGGGATTAAATTATTAGATTTAAGGATTTAACAAACTATTAAATTCCTCAGTGCTGATCAGTAGATGAAGCAGAACATAAGCAATATGATTGGAAATGGAGCTGAGTTCTCTAGGGAAAAAACACTGGTCTATATCTATTATCTTCCCACAGATACACAACAATTATATCAGATTGTAAATAGTCCCCAGTATGAGGTAGAAAAAAATCTGATGCATATTTATAAAAGACTGAAGGAAAGCGTTTATATCATTCACTGATCAGAGTAAGGAAAATATTATTGACTATAAATCCAAAATATTCAATCCAAAAGATTTTAAATTACAAAGGAGTTCAAAAGTTAGTCTAACTGCCTGGGTAAAATGTGCTGAAAGTTCTGTTCAACAGAAACATCAATCAACACAAAATTCATCATTCAGGAAGTGCTAAATTTTCATTAATCACTGACATGAGAAGATCACAGTAGAATGAAGGAATATATATGCGATAAAAGTGGTACATAAAAGACCATAAAAATAAGAATTTTGAAGAGGACTTAATGTTGTCAAGTCTGAATAAGGTTAGAGTAATAGTTTTCAATCCAATATAAAATTAAGGAGTAAATAACAAGTAAACAGGTTTAAAAGCTTCAATTGTCCAAGTACAGGTATAAGGAAGTCTGACAGAAAATATATGATGAAAGACATATACAGTTATATAATAAAAACAACAAATAAAAAATCAAGGCCCCTTCCACTAAACAAAAAAGGAGTCTATAATAAGTCAAATGTTAAGGTCAACTTGATTGCCTAAATTCCAGACATAACTTTGTGCTTTCTGTTAGGATAAAAAGAAATAACATGAGTAGCTCTATAATCACATTATCTCAGTAGTGAGCTGTATACATTTCTTACCATTGTTTCAAAAACCACATTAAACTGCAAATCTTTTTCATGAGGAGCTTTATGAAAGGGACCCAAAGTGATGACATGCAAAATAATCTGGACAATTTATAGCACGTAAAATGTGGAAAAAGAAAAGCCCAAATTTCATTTCAGCCAAGGCAGAGTAGTTTGTATTAAATCAACTCTCATATTAGAAACAGTAACAAAACTAGATTAAATTTGTAAAAGTGCATTTTAAGACACTGGAGAGCAACTAAAACAATCAGAACTTTAAGGTCCAAGATCCAAGAAGGAAAGAAACACAAGAAAAGGAACTATCAATGTATATCATTTTTTCCTTGAGGCATAATCACAACGTCTGCTATTCACTTAAATTACAAAATATTTCAGAATACTATCCCAAATTACTTAAAACTAAAAGTAGAGGAATAGATAAGAACAAACTAAAAGGAGAGAAATAGATAAGAAAAATAAGAACAAATTAAAAATTTTTAGAGTTATCCAACATGTACTTTAAAATAACAATCATAAAATGCTTAACAGATAAGAAAATTGTACTCCAAAACTGCAGTCTACAAAACCAAACAAAAACCTAGTCAAATATAGATTCCAAAAGCGAAAAATACAGTATTTGAATTGAAAACCTGACACTTGTGTTTGACAGCAGAAGGACATAGAAATGATTAATGAACTGAAAAATGAATGAGCAAAAATGAGAACGTAGTTCAAGTGGGAGTAGTAAGATACTTTAAAAAGCATAAAACAGGCCCAACACAGTGGCTCACGCCTATAATCCCAAAACTTTGGGAGGCGGAGGTGGGTGGATCCCTTGAGGCCAGGAGTTTGAGACCAGCCTGGCCAACAGGGCGAAACTCCATCACTACTAAAAATACAAAAATTAGCCGGGAATGGTGGTGGGCGCCTGTAATCCAGCTACTCGGGAGGCTGAGGTGTGAGAATCTCTTGAACCTGGAAGGCAGAGGTTGCAGTGAGCTGAGATCACGCCACTGCACTCCAGCCTGGGCGACAGAGCAAGACTGCCTCAAAAAACAAAAGAAAACAAAACAAAAACACACAAGACACACAGGAAAGGTATTACATGTGTGTAATTGGAGGCCCAGAGGAGTGGAGAGAAAGAATAGGGAAACAGGGCACAGCAACATTGAAAATACTGGCCAGATATTTTCTGAAAGACATTTTGCTGTACAATTCAAGAATCTGTAAATCCCAAGCAATATAAATTCAAAAGAAACTACTCAAAAGTAGTCAGTGAAAAGATGACCTCCCAAAGAGTAACTATTTGAAGAGTTACTTCTCAACAAAATGACAGAACCAGAAGACAACAGGATAGGTTTACATTCTGAAATAAAAAAAAATAAAACAATTGACAACTTTGATACTTTTCTATCAAAAATGAAGACAAAATACAAACATTTTAAATAAAAACAGAGCATTCATGGCTAACAGACCATGTAAAAAGAAGTACTAAAAAATTTCTTCAGGCCCAAGGAAAATCATCCCTAATATAGAAATATGGAAATACAAGAAAGAAAAAAGAGCAAAGGAAAAGGTAAATATGTACATAAATCTAACTGAGTAATGAAGACATCTTGCTAGGCTAATAATATACTGTCTTAACAATAATTATATTTTGAGGTTTAAAATGTGGGGCAAAAAGGGGGGGGGGAATTTATAGAGTTAAAATGTCCCAAGATCTCTGCATTGTCTAGAAATTAAGTAAAAGGATTAAACTATGGTGAGCATGAAAATGCCACAGGGGCAATGTAATTTATAGGATAAACCACTGAAAATAATATTTACACTAAAGAGAAGGTAGGGAAAGGAAATTTTAAAATATCAGGAAAAAGGGAATAAAAAGCATACAGTGTGATGGTATAATGTACAGTACTACATTCTGCAATTAAGTAGTCTAGTTTTTATGGTTTTAAAATTATAGCTTCGATTTTTAAGAAAAACTTAAATGTAGTAACTCTTAAATATAAGAAAATAAAAGTTGAAAGTAAATGAATGAAAAAAACACTAGGCAAATACAAAGCAAAAGAAGGTTGGTACAGTTATAGTCATACTAGGGAAAAAAGATGGTAAGCTAGAATAATTACTAGAAACTAAAAAGGACAGTTTACTGACAAAAGAACCACTCCAACAGGAATATATACATACATACATACATATATACGTGTGTGTGTATATATATATATATACACACATACATATGACATATATATGTCAATTTATAAAAATAGTCTTAAAAAGCAAAGGCATAAAGAACTAAAATGAGTAATAGACAAGCCTACAAATATAGTGTGAGATTTTAGCATAACTCACTCAGTAACAGATAGACAAAGAGAAAAAGTTAGCAGGGCTATAGAAGACAGGGGGAAAAAAAAATTAACAAACTTATCTTACTTATTTAGAACAACGTACCTGATATCTATCCAATACACAGTGTTTTTCAAGTACTTATGAACTATTTACCACAATGCGACCCCACAGTGGGCTACAAAGCAAGTCTTAACAAATCTAAAGGGATACAATCATTCAGCACGCCCTCTAGTAACATGGAATTTCACCATGTTGGTCAGGCTGGTCTTGAATTCCTGACCTCAGGCGATCCAACCCTGTCTCTACTAAAAATAGAAAAATTAGTCGGGCATGGTGGCGGGTGCCTGTAATCCCAGCTACTTGAGAGGTTGAGGCAGGAGAATCGCTTGAACCTGGGAGGCAGAGGTTGCAGTGAGCCAAGATTGTGCTATTGCACTCCAGCCTGGGCAACAAACAAGAGCGAAACTCCTTCTCAAAAAAAAAAAGAAAAAAAAAATGCTGGGTGTAGTGGCTCATGCCTGTAATCCCAGCACTTTGGGAGGCCTGAGGTCGGGAGTTCAAGACCAGCCTGACCAACATGGATAAACCCCGTCTCTACTAAAAATATAAAATTAGCCGGGCATGGTGGCATGTGCCTGTAATCCTAGCTACTCGGGAGGCTGAGGCAGGAGAATCACTTGAACCCAGGAGGTGCAGGTTGCGGTGAGCCGAGATGGTACTCCAGCCTGGGCAACAAGAGCAAAACTCCATCTCAAAAGAAAAAAGGCGGGGGCGGTGGGGGGGGGGGGTGATTTCAGTACAAAGCCTACAGACATTATAAAAATATTAAGATTTTTGTTCGTTTGTTTTTTGTTTTTGAGACAGAGTCTCACTGTCACCCCCAGGCTGGAGTCCAGTGGCACAATCTCAGCTCACCACAACCTCCGCCTCCCGGGTTCAAGTGATTCTTCTGCCTCAGCCTCCCGAGTAGCTGGGACTACAGGTGCACAACAACATGCCCAGCTAATTTTTGTATTTTTAGTAGAGATGGGGTTTCACCATATTGGCCAGGCTGGTCTCTCGAACTCCTGACCTCATGATTTGCCCACCTTGGCCTCCCAAAGTGCTGGGATTACAGGCGTGAGCCACTACGCCTGGCCTAAAAACAATAAGATTGTTATAAAAAGGTTTATTCCGATAAATTTTTAAATTCTAAAAAACAGAACTGTTTAATAAGTTTGCTTCAAGAATTGTTTCAAACACTTATCAAATAAATCACCCAAATCTGACACAAACTCTTCCACGGAACAAAAAAAGAAGAAACACATAGTGAATGGTTTTATGAAGCTGGCATACTTGTTATCAAAACCTGCCTAAATTTACAAATTGGCAAAACAAATCCATATTTTTTAAAGTCATATTTTTTAAAGGATAATCATTACTCTTGAAAATGGGTAGTGACTAGGATGAGACATCAATGGGCATATAAATTATTATTTCTTTATCTGATTGTTAGTTACATATATCTGTGTTTACTTTGTGAAAAATTTGCAAACTGTACTTATAATTTGTACATCTCTCCATGTGTTATACAATTTTAAAAAAACTTACAGAAACAAAAAAGTCCTTAATTTAGACCTTTCTGCAGGTAAACTTTAATTCATTAAACATTATGTATGTATTTTGTGAAGAATAAAGCTATTATATAGATGCACCATTATTCAGAGTAAGTTTTCTCTTTTGTTCATCAAAAACAACTATAAGAAAAAGAGAAATATCTTGCTAAAATCATGCCAAATTATACTGATGGTACTTTTTCAATGTCCACAAACTAAAAAATACATTTGTTGTGATTTCTTCTCAGGAAACACATGTAAGTTTATATGATTGTTAGTATTATTTTCCTACCTACCTGAACTATTGCATTTAATAATACATTGTAAATTCCAACAAGTATAGCAATATATATTTTTCAGGGTTTAATTTTACATTTTCAAAATTGTAGACATATCTGGCCCAGTCCCCTTATCTTTGATTTCTCCTAGATTTTCTATAATTATTCTGCAAGTACATAGATAAATTATATCTATATCCATATCTATAACAGTTATATGCTGAGTATATATAATATACTCAGCATATAACATAGTTCCTGGTAACTTGTAATTACTCTTTAATAGTTGTTAAATGAAGAAATGGACTCAATGACAAAGTGATAAATCAGATGGTCTCTGATCAATTTCTCTTCTATTGAAGGCTTTAATTTCCTCTTAAGTAAATTTGTTTCCCTTTCTAAATGTTAAGAGGTTGCTTTCTCCTTTGACAAAACAAGTACTGAACAGTTCTGTGGCCCTGGCTAACTTGTCCTTGTAGTTCAAAATCAGAAGGCTCTGAGTAGAGCCACGCTGATTCCTTCTCGACATGGTTTTCATGTCTAGCTTGTTTATACGATGTACGATTACCCAGTTAGAACATTCTTTGAATCTCTCATTTATGTTGAACTAAAAGAACTTTTCTGCCATTTAAGGCATTGTAAGTCAGCTTTCCTAAGGTTCACCTCTCCATTCTATATCTAACATTGCTTTTCTTACTTTTACAAGCTCCAATATAAATTCTCATTTTCCCCAGGTTGCCATCACTGTGACGTCATCAAGCAGTTCTTCCTTCTTATTCAGAACATAATCAGAGCACAGCGTCAGTTTTCCCTGATTGCTTCATTTCTCATTTGGCAAACACAACAAAACCAAACCTGTCAGCAAGTTGAAGATTTACCAGATGCCCATATACTATGCTGCAATAACATTTTACTTATATGATTTGGGCAATGTACACAGTATCTAACTGATTTTAACAGTAACATTTAAAAATACATGCCAACACAACTTTGGTTGGTTTCTATGGTTAGCACTTTTCAAACATTTCCTTCTTTGAAGTCCATGCCTTGGTATTTATTCTGACATAGAGATAAAAAAATCTTAAAAGTACTTAAAGGTAACTGCCAGACGGATGTGCATGTGTGTGTGTTTACATGGCTGTTTTAAATACATTCTTAAAGCAATACTTGTGTCCTCACGCCTAGACAGTCATTCAGCTTTATGATATCCATAATGCTAGAACATTTGCCTTCAGAGACCTGATGAGGCTGAAGTCAAGAGAAACGGAAGGTTAAAGTGGAAATTGGGGTGGAGGGATAATCACTGAGAACAAACTCAAATTAGCTACAATAAAGATTTCCCTCTAAGCCTTGTCATCTCTTTTGTCTTTCAAATATATTTCTTTCTTCTCTGGACCAGCCAGGGGCCTTCTACTCTCCAGATTTCTTTTTAATCCCTTGTTGACTTCCTTGGACTTTTTTTCTGGTCACCAGATAGTTTCTTTGGGGAAACTGGGATCAGTGGGGGGCAGGAATCAAATTTAACATTTTTACTTATGCAACATATAAATAAGTACAAAGTATGAGATATGACTGATTAGTTGTTGCCTGTCATCCATTGCCACTGCTTTCTAATCATCTCCCTGAAGCATCAAGCTCCTCAACATTAAGGTTCTGTATTCTGCCAGTGAGATGTTCTCATTTAAGAGTCAGAAGGAGGAAATGAGAGGGAGGTCATCTTGCTGGTTTGGTTGCCAGCAACAACATTCAACGTTGCAGAGTCGAGTTACTAGTCTGCGGGGGAGGCAGTTGTGTCAGCTGTAGTACTCGCAACAGCAGCAGCAGCTTCTCTGTCTCTGCTTCACAGCTATGGTGGCGTGTCCTGAAATCAATGATGGGGAGGCAGACCTGACTTCCATCCCTCCTTCTCTTCAATGAATAAGCGAGCATTCGCTATACTAAATTCCTGTTCTCCTGAAATACTTAGAGTGGTTCGTGTTTCCTGTACCATACACTAACTGACAATTGTTAAGAGACTGGAAAAGAGAATATGAAAGAGAAAAAGGAATGTAAACTGAGCGGGGAGAAAATGCAGGATAAGTCATCACCAGGAATGCACATTCTAAGTTCCTGAACACAGTACAAACGGAGTCCAGTCCCACTCCACTTGCCTCCAAAGTGTACATAGTTTCCCCATGTTCCTGACACCTCTGGGCCCTTCACACATTCGCTATCTCTGAACACAATTTTCTCCCAACCACTTTTCCTTCACACCCAACTATTTCCTAATTCCTAACACATCTTTAGGACACAGTTCAGACATTCCCTGTCTTCCATGACGCATCCTGATGCTCACTCTAGGCTGGTTAGCTTTCCTCCAGAATCCCATAATACATTTTATCCATCCAAATTTTTCCACTTCCCATGCTGTATTAAAGTTATCTGCCTGCAGATATCTCTCTTATAAGACGGCGAGCTCCTTGTAGTTTCGAATGACATTCAATAAATCTTGCCAAATGAATAAGAAAATAATTCTATATTTTTTATTGGTCCACTTGCCTGAAAAGACTAGAATGTTGTTTTTGTGGAGTTCGTGGAAGTGATCATATTAAGGCTTGAATCAAAGCGGGATTTCCTAGAGAAACTTCTAATTCTCCTTGTAAGCTATTTCCTGGAGGATGGAAGACGGCCACGTGCTTGGGTCCTGTGCCTCATATAAAAGGGAAGGGATTCTGACACATCCTGTTCATGGTCAATGATTTGATTTTTAGTTTGGATTTTTCTGTGTGTCTGGCCATTTGCACTGCAAATATATTTCAGAATTTAATCTACACACCTACATGTCAGCACCACCCACTTTCACCCTGGGTAAGCTGATTTAGGGACCAAAATTCTTCCTTTAGTTTTTCAAATCCCTTTCAATATGAATATATATTTTTAAAAGGAATGAAAAAAATCAAAACTATTAGTTTCATTCAGTATTTTGAATGCTCAGGATTTTAAAGATGGTTAGACAGTATATGGATTACTAAATCTCCTCAGTGCCGTATCTGAGGGCAGAATGTAAGGTGGGTGACCCCTCACATGAGAACTGGCAATGGGAAGACAGTGAGATAGAAACCCAGCAGGAAACTGTGACCACTGCTCAACACAGAACAGGGAACTTGGGTAAGACTCCACTAATGAGAAGGAAGGAGAGTAAATCTGAGAGCACCTAGGAAGCCACTGGTCATCATGAATCACAAGCTCTTGATGAGTGCAGAATCCAGTTCTTTGGTGCCAGAATCTATTCTAACTGATCGGTCCTTGCTCCATCTGCTCTTAAAATTTTTTAATACCTCACTTAGCTAAGACAGGCTCATACGTGTTGTATGTTAGTGGTAAGCAATGGAAGGCTAAAGTACTGTCTGACATATTTTAAGAATATTCTCAAAAAGAGCCAAGCTTTTAGGAGTGGAAGTCTTTAGGCTCAGCTGTGCAAACCAGAAGTATCAGACACAGAAGACATGAGTGAACCTTTGTGAGAGCAGAGACCTTATTTTGACCACTGCTATCTTCCAAACACCTGGAATATTTGTGGTATAAATGAGTGAAATGAGGCTGGTGCTGTTAGGTGCCTCTCTTTCTCCTATTTGCTCATCTTTCTCGGTTACATCATTTGGTTAGTGCATTGACCATTTCACCTTCCACATTTTTATGGGTTTAAAGCCTAAAGAAAGAATCTTTATTTTATATATATATATAAACAACATAATCGATGATCTATTTGACCAGTTTTGCTCTCCCCTCTGCTCCCATTAAATGAGGACTTCAATAAGAATTCAGAGAAATCACTTATAGTAAACTCAACCTTTATTTTTAATAAACAAAAGGGTGAATAACCATAAACATGAAATGAACCATGAATATCATCTGCCAGACAACTGAAAAGAGACAAAGCTTTCTTAAATATGGCTTGAGATTTCAATCATTTCATCACTAGACTGATTTTAAAGAGACGGTAATTCTCAAAATCTGGTTCATCAATTTTTTGTTTAGTTTTGGTATGGTTGTTGTGTCTTTACTGTTTAGAAACCACAGCTTAAAAGCAACTTAGATAGTAATGCTCTAAATGACCAAAACTACATTTTATAATCAAAGCACTCAGAAATGAGTTATTAAAACCCAATTTTATTATTCTTTCTCTGTGTTTATATTGGTTTTTGTGGATTTTTTCTGAAAACTATATAAACCTTTGCTCAGCCTTAACTCTTTAGTGAACTATTTTATTTAAAAAATAACAACACATGAACTTGACTGTGTTTAACTTCTGTTCCAGGTAAAAAAGACATGCTATAAAAAGATTTAATACTGTTCTCAGGGAAAAGAAAATGTCAAGCTACAAAATATCTGTAATATGTATTAATATGTTTTAAAATATCTAAAAATAATTAATGCTGATAATGTATTCAAAAGCCCTATAATAGTGTTTAAATTAAGAAGGCCCTCAGAATTTACAATTTAAATAGTAAACATATGGCACTACTCAAAAAAAAACATTGAAGCAAATAACTCATTAAAAATGCAAATGAATACAAGTGAACTTGCTTAAAAAAAGCAAGTAAGAGAACCAAAGGCTATAATGGCAATGGAAAAGGCAAGGTCGAGGACTGTTCACAGGGGAGAATTCTGATGAGGTCAAATGCAGCCTTCGGAGCTGTGGACTACTTATTAAGGAAGTAGCAGTTCTGAATTTTTATTACAGAGCTTTGCTCATACTGTGATGATTTCAGATAAGGTATTTATAGATTGTCTGAATATTTGACCTTGGAACTATTTTATGGACACTAGATATATTGCTTTTTATGGAGAAAATAGACAGTTCTACATAGGTAAATCATTTGCATTATCAGAAGAGAAAGCTGGGCTGAGGTAGGGAAGGTGGTGGTGACACTTCCCCTGTGAAACATTTCATGCCTGTTCAATACGTTTAAGCAATTACGCACTACCATAAATTAGAAAAGATTATAAATCAATTAGTGACTCTTACTAGCAGCCATAGACCCATGTAAAGTAAATCACATGATGCCCTTTTTACAATAAGTTCAGTCTTGATAAACTCAGTTATTCAGGAAAATGTCACTGCAGTGATGTCTGTCTATTCTAAATTGGAATCAATCCAATAATTGACTTCTGTTTTCTTCAGCAAAGGGCACTTAACACTAACGTGTGGTACATAGTCATATAGGCCTGAAGATCACACAAGTACATCCTATTATACCACCCTCCACCTTGGCAGATGGCTTACCTTGAGTGAAACCATTAACTACTCCCAATTCAAGTGACTGAAACTAAGAAACATGGGCCAACTGATCATCACCTTGAAAATAATATTTTCTTCAGAACTGACACTTTCCTTGATACTGAAATTTTCACTTACAGGTTTTAAGTAAATCTCACTAATATGTTTTTTGGATTAGATATTAACCAAAGAGAAATTTTAAGAATTATAGCTCTTTGCCCTTACAAAGTTTCAAAGATCTACAGTCATTACTAAAGACCATATTTTAAATAGGTATTTTAATTATGAGATATAAAAATATAATCAGGAATAATTTGAGTATGGTTTACAATTATGTTTCAACACTGGTCATCTTAGATTTTCATATATCATGTGCAAAAGAATACTTAAGTGAAAAGAACGTAGTAGTTATTGCCAAATTAGGAAGATCACTCGCCAATCAATACTAAAAAAAAAAGAACTTGAACAGATTTACTTTGTAATATTTGAAATATACAAAAGAATACAATTAATATAAGTTAGGAAGCATAATAACATGAACTCCCATGGTGAGCTTTTTGTCTTTTCTAATATGTACATTTATTCTCTTTTAAGGTTACAAAGACCAGTTTGACAGCTTCCTGCAAATTTATTTTCATTACGATATAGTTCTAATATTTTTGAAAATTTCCACCATGATTTTTTGACTGACTCATGGGTAACTTAGAAAAATGTCAAATCTCAAAATGTATTTTTAAATTTTACTGTCTTCTAATTAAGTGTAGTGGTTAGAAAACATGGTTTTTGTGACAGAAATTTTCAGAAATTTGATGAAGCTTGCTTTGTTGTACATTGTGTGATACATTTTTGCAATTACTACATGTCCTTGAAAGAATGCCTATTTTCTAAACTGTTAGATACAGGAATCTATATATGTTTATTCCATTTACCCTATTAAATGTGTTGTATAAATCATTAATCTTTACCAGCTTTTCCTGCTTGACAAAAATAATTGATAAAGGTGTATTAAAATCTACCTCTGTAGTAGATGACTTTTTAACGTTTTACATTTGATGAATTGTGCTTTATATATTTTCATGCTATTTTTAAAAAATGCTTACAGGTTTAGTATTTTTATACTGTCCTGATAAACTAGTAAAACTATCTTCACCCAATTGTTTTCTGTGCTAAAATCTGAATGATCTGAAACAAAATGGCTGTATTTCCAGGGCAAATTTGTCATTATTCCTTTATTTTCAACCTTTGTTTTCATGTTTAGGTGTGTAAACCACATATGACTATACTTTTAAATTCAAACTCAGAGTCTCTGTCTTTTGGCTTTTGGAATTAGATTCTTGTATTAATTTTCTATTGCTACATGATAAATTACTGCAAACATACTGACTTAAAACAAGACAATGTATTATTCTCAGTTTTTGTGAGTCAGGAATCCAGCACATTTTAGCTGGGTGCTATACTCAGCTAAAATAAAAAAAAAAAAAAAAGGTTTTAGCTTGCTGAGTCCTAATCTGGAGGTTCAACTAGCAAAGACTCACCTTCACACTACCACAGATTATTGGCTGAATTCAGTTCCTTGTGGCTGTAGGACAGATGCCTTTCGGCTTTTAGCTGGGACTGTTTTCAGCTTTTAGTGGCTACTCTCAGGTCCTTGCAATGTGGCAATCTCTCAGACCTCCCTTTCTAGGACCAGCTTGAGAAAACTCTCTTCCCTTAAAAGACTCCTGTGATAAGATCAGGTCCATTGGGACAATCTCCCTTTCTTAAAGACAATTGTGCCACAGGATACAACCTAATCACAGAAGTAAAATCCATCAAATTCACAATTCCAGGGATTATGCAAAACATGTACTCTAGGCTGAAGCAGACAGGAACTCTTGGGGGCCAGCCAGAATTGTGCATTCCACATTCATTTACGTGGCTTATAATTAGTGATACTTGGCTTTATTTTTACCTTATTCCTTTTCTTATTTTTTATGTTTCTATTTGTCCTTTTTGTTTAATTTTTTCAATTCTGATTTCTAAAAAATGACACAGAAATACTTTTCTGTGGCTGGGCGCGGTGGCTTATGCCTGCAATCCCAGCACTTTGGGAGGCAGAAGTGGGCAGATCATCTGGGGTCAGGAGTTTGAGACCAGCCTGGCCAACATGGGGAAACCCTGTCTCCACTAAAAATACAAAAATTAGCCAGGCATGGTGGCACACGCCTGTAATCCCAGCTACTCGGGAGGCTGAGGCAGGAGAATCACTTGAATCCGGGAGGCAAACGTTGCAGTGAGCAGAGACCGTGCCACTGCACTCTAGCCTGGGTGAGAGTGAGACTCCGTCTCAAAAAAAAAAAAAAGAAAAGAAAAGAAATACTTTTTTGTTTGCTTGCTGTCTTACACATTCTATTCCCATTCAATTTCTTTGGGAAATTATACATTGAACCTCTGTTCTTTCAGCAGTTATTCTCAATTTTTTTTAAACAAGTATAATTAACAAACTATATAAGGACATTAGAAACTAACTCCCAATGTCCTCTCCAAATTTAAATGTTATTACAGTCTAATACTTCAGCTCTATCATTGTATAAAAATCCTATCAATCAGACCGTATTAATAGTATTTTAAGAAGAAAATGTGCACGCTTTTATAAAATGCCTTTTTTTAGTCATTATTCCATATTACAGCTCAGATCATCATTTTGGGTTCTATTTTTAACTCAGCAATAATAAGTTGGAATCTTTTAGCTGAATGCTTTAGAATTTCCTTTTAGTCTCTCAGTTTTTGTTCAAAACTGTCCTTATTTTTGTCAATATTTTGAAGGTATTTCACAGAATTATAGTGAGTGACCACACAGCTTTATGTGGACATTGTCTATCAGCATTTTGAAAATATTATCCCATTGTCTTCTAGCTGCCACTGTTGATATTGACAGGTTGGCTGTCAGTCTACTGGTGTTTTCTTTGTAAACTGATGTCACCTTCTTGCTAGTACCTACTCCTCCATACTGCTGGAAGTAGCATTTCTATGAAAAATAAGTGATCAAATGATTGTCATTAACTATTGGCTTTGTAAAAGTTGTTTTCTTCATTTCTATGAAGATCTTATTATTATTGATATGGACAGGAGGCAAGGAAATATTGGGTAGAACAGGGTGGTTCCCCAGCAAAGGCCTCAGCCTCAAGCCTGGAAACTGGCAGCTCTAAAGAGAACAGGTATTCCCTGTTTTCACGCCCAAATGTTGCCTTTTCCAAGACTACTCTGGCCTGCCACGACTCTATCCTGTGCTCATATAAACCCCTGACCCCCACAGCCACCCCGTCACCAAACAGATGTTTATATAGTTAATACATCCTTATCATATATAATCTAGTTGCTACTTTTCTTAGTATTTTAGCTGTCATAAAGGACTTCATGATAAAATAGCAGTAACTCCATTGGCATCTTCCCTGGATGTCTCTCATGAATCTTAGACTCTTAATGGGTCATAAGAGTTACACAGACTTTATACCTGGTTTTGGAAAAGCATGAACTCAAAGTAAATTTAATTAAATTATCTATTCCACAACCTCTCTTCACAACAGAAAACTATATTCTCTATGGATAATCACATAAAATTATACAAAGGCTAATAAAAAGGGAAAAACCTTTTTCCCCTTCTTACATGGGCCAAAAAGACATAAAATCTAACCTTAAAAATTCAATGTTTCTTACATAAAACTAGACTTTCTCATTTGAATGTGGCATGAAGTGGTTCCAGGTAGGCAAAACTAAAAGGAAATAAGATAAAAATGCAAAGGAAGTACAAACTTTCTATTACTTATTTTAAACTATTTTTGACGTGGGAATTTGTTCTGCGTTGTGCACTGCTCAGCATGCCTCTGCCTTGGCTCCGGTTATCTTCTCATGGTCCTCATCTATTTTGCAGTCTAACTTCTCTAGTGACATAAGATATAATTTCCTAAAAAAGAGATTTTTCTAACAAGAAAAGGCAGGGTAAAGGGCAAGAGAGTGCCATGGGAGGAGGTGCTACTGAGATTGGGTGTTCATAGAAGGCCTGCCTGATAAAGTGAGACGTGATCTGAAACCTGAATAAAGTAAGGATGGTGTCCTTGTGGACAGTGCTCCAGAGACAGGAGCTGGGAGAGCTGTGAGTAGGCAGGGGCACCCAAGGAATCCCTGGGAGGCCAGGGGAGGTGTGGCAGGAAACATGGGAGGAGCTAAGATCAGAAATGGGGGTGAGGAGCAAGGCTATGGAGGCCCTGTGAGGAGATGACAGGATTTTGAATTTTATCTTGAGAAGGAAAGTTTTTGAATAGAGGGCTGATATGATCTGATTTATGTTTTAAAAGGATCATTTTGGCTGTGATGGGGATAACAGACTGGAGAAAAACAAGAACTTTCCACAGCCCACAAGAAAAATTCAAACTACTGAGACTATCAATGAAGACACTTTAAAATAAAGGACAGACCTAGAGACTCTTCAAGTTTACTGATGTTCAGAATAACCTGCTGTTCAGTGAGTATTACACTGTCTTTCACATGGTTTTATTTCTGCTTATGCTATTTCTGAAGCCCAAAGTGCCGGTTCTTCTTTTCACAGACTGGCAAAATCCTACTCATTCCAAATGGGCCAGCTCAAATGTCACTGTTTGGTGAAGCCTTCCTTTATGACCCTGGGATAGTTGAACTTTTTTCTGCTTCTCTTCCACCCCAACGTTATGAATGTGACATAAAATTTGAGTCACAAAAAGAAAACATAACAAAAGGTAAGTAGGTAATTATACACTGTAGACAACTGCTTTATATAACTCTAAGAAAAGTTAGACTCTCCATAATAGGAAACATAGATAAGATATCAAAACACACAGTAAAACCACAATAATTAAAACGCAGAACAAAAATGTCCTGAAGACAAGGGGAGGTATATAAACACACATAATTCTATCTACATCATGCCTTGCAGATCAATCCTATGAAGATATCAACAAAAACAATGACTTAATTACTCAAAGCAGTAGAGGGCCTTGGTGCCAACACAATCTCTACAACAGAAGTTCACAAACTGGGGCCTGCAGGCCAAATCCCACCAGATGGTGTTTATAAATAGTGGACATGGAACACCACGCCCTCTCATTTGCATATCCCCCTCCAGCTGCTTTTGCACTACCTACTCAGCAGAGCAAGAGTCTTTGTGATGAGCCATATGGTTCACACAGCCTAAATAAAATACTTACTCTTCATAAAACAAGTTTGCTGACCCTTGCTCTGCCCCACTCCTCCACAAGCTCCTTAACTACTTGAGGTTCTCAAATAAGTCCTGATCCTTCAGTCGTCTCAGTGACTGCTCATGCTAGCCGTTCTGCCTGGAGCATGGTTCTCTACCTCCTCTGCCTGGATAATCCCACTGCTCCTTTGAGACTCAGCTCAAGCCACCTCTAATAAGATGCTCCTCACTCTCCACCGTGCACAAAGACCCCTCCTCTCTGGTCCACACCTGCTCATGAATACTTGGAAACTGACACTCAGCCCACCTGATTTTAACTATTTATATACTTGCCACCCCACTTAGATATCCCTGAAACAGGAAATGTTTTCTGGACTTCACTTTTCCTCTCCAAATGAACAAACACCAAACTGTTCAGCTTCTTAGTTTAGCATCAGATCCAGGCTAACGAAGAGTTAAATGAGTTAGAAGGGAGTTCAATTAGTTTATTGCCTCATAGGACACATCAGCATGGTAAAGTGATCACAGGCCATTAAGCGTAGGGGTGAAAACTGTATAAGGAATTATTCCTCTTAAACATCTATGTAGAGTCTTGGGTCCTGATGAGGAATTGCCTCCAACCTGTGACGGAGGTTCCTCTGCTACTTCCTGCTGCTTCCAGATGCCTCTAGCCATGACTCAACCATTCGCTTCCTAATTTGTTGCTTCCAAACCACTCTAGGAGCTGGAAAGCAAAACAAACATGTGGTAAAACTGGTACCTAAAACTAGAATAAATAGGCTTTTAAGGACCTATGGGATTTTTCTTTCACAGGTGCATGAACAGGGCTGGTCTCCCAAAGACAATTTTTCTAAATCCCAGATTCTTGGCTATGTTCTAAATAGATTTGTTTTTTAAATAAATAACCTAGCAGTATAACTAACCAAACTGTTATTAAATGGAAAGTTATACTTTGACCTGCTTAAAGAAAAAAACTATCAAAACTTTTGCTTTTAAAAAGACTAGACAATGTTATTAGCAAACAGAAGTTATTATTGCATTAGAAAATAAAACATACACCTACTTTTAAGTAAGTCTGATATCTGAAAGTGTTAACGTCTAAACAAATTAGAATTTTTAAATGCACCTATTCACAATCATTAATGCCCAAACATGCTCTCTAGAGATAACAAAAGTCAAATTTCAGGAGTCTTTGCCAAGTGAAAATTAAAAAGAAATTAAGCTTGTTTTGGAAATGAAAGGTAAATTAGGGGAAACTTACTCCATTTTTATAAGTCATATATATATAAACCATTATTTATAAAAACATAGATTTCACTTTTATTTCTGTATTTTTGCATTCTGCTAGAATCATTAAAGCCTATTTTTCTGTAAAAGATAAAAATATTTGAAGTAACATTTTTTCTTTTAAATTTCTGAGAAGCTTAAAGCAATAAAATAATTGCTTCCATTTCTTTAGCAAGGTATGTTTTTTCTTGTAATTAATATAAAGGAGCTAAAAATTTTCAACTTATTTGCTCAAAAGCAATTAAAACCTAGTCAAAGATCTGCTAACTTATAAATATTAAGAAAACCATTCATTTTTTTTTCAAATGGCATGATTTAGTTATAGATTTGCCAGAGTCAGGAGAATTTCATTTTCTAATCTTTTATGTCCCATATGAAAAGTTTCTCAAATAATATTTCTTCTGCCTGTGTTTTTTCAAAATGCTTTCACTCTCATTTTGCATCTCCTCTGTATAGACAGGCAATTTTTGCACAACATGATTTTTTTTTCCTAAATAAACTCAGTTGTTTATCAGATAGAGCTAAAAAGTACCCGCTGTATGCAAAGCCTAATTTACACTGACAAACTTAAAACAATTCTCCACTTTGGCTTTCCCATTCCAATTTACTGATAACTTTACACATCTAATCCTGGTCCTAGCACAAGATCATGAATGCTCTTCCTCAATTTTTTACTTAGAGTGTTAATGGAGGAAGAAAGTGGCATTATGTTCTCTATATAACGTTAACAAAACTTATTATAAAATAAAATAAACAGGTAACTGGGTCTTTTTCATCCATACAACCCAAAATAAACAGCCTGATTTGTGGCTTTGTCTACGAAATGAACAGAAATTAAAAACTAAGGGCTTGTAAAACGGAATGTTCTATTAGCTCGCTTAATATTGCCTTCCCCACATTTGAAAATACAAAGTGAGGAGGGGTGGCTATGCTTGATTAGAACAGCTTAGCTACTCTTATCTTTTACCTGGTGGGCTTCTCTGATTTAAGCTGGTTTACATCCATGGCTGGCACTTGAAATACTAACCTCTGCATACAAACAAATCCTGAAGTTTAAAAACTCCTCTTCTGTAACATTTGAAGAAGATACTCTTTTTGGAATTTTCAGAACTGCATCTTCCTAAATCATTCTCATTCTGATCATTTCTGACTTTCATACAAATGATAGTCACAGCATATACTGAAAGAGACAGACGTGGAATATACAAAAACAGAGGAACATATTTGTACTTAGATTTTAATTTATTACACAAAGTGTATATAGATTTAAGGAAGTAAATAATTCTGAATTTAAAAGCAAGTCAATGTATTTAGTGAATAAACATGTAAAGAGTTTTAAAATCACTGATATGTAACACTTCCGTTTCAAAAACAGGCTGCATGAGAAATGTCAACTACAGAATTTGATTTTTATAGACTTTGGATTTTTGTATTACCAACAAAAGAACACATAAGTAATCATATGCCACGATTAAACGGTGATTTAAATAAAAATTATAATATTTGATCCATAAGAGCCAATGATAAAATCCAAAATGAATGCTTCTAATGTTTTGATATCATCTTAAAAACATTACAAAAGAATTACGAATATTTCAAACCAGAAGCAATACAATGTATTGTACACCAACAGAATTTATCATTAACATATTTTAAAGCAAATTATGGAAGGAAATAAACAGCAGCCTCATGTATAGGGCGATTTAGGGAACCATCTCATGTTCAGGCAAAAGGGTCTTACTCAGGAGTCATACTCTTTCTTCATTTTCCTGTTCATTGTATTGTTATAGTACTGTCTTTGTAAATCGTCTTCTGTTAAATTTAAATAATCATCCCCAAATGCAAAATGTACTAATCTAATCATTGTGAGGAGGACTGCTAAATTCAGAATTTCTTCTCCAAATAATTACTATCATTAAAATCAATATTATATTGTCCCCCTCTTTTTAAAATACATTCTGAAGTTTGTTGGTGGCTATTAAATAAAAGATCATGCATTACTGTACATCCTTTTATTAAAAAGCAACTTCAATGAGAATAGCAATAAACTCTTTAAAAACAAAAACAGTTATTTGCATGAGAAAAAAATGAGTGATTGAATCAGCCTCACAAGTTTCTCTTTGTTGAAGTACCAGTTATCATACAAGCCTTAGGAATGCGTGGCACAGTACTGCAGAAGTCAGACGATAAATTTAAATGTCCTTGCCAAACTGGTAACCTGCCTTACATAAACGACACGACATCCAATCAAGGTAGCACGTGGTTAGGGATTTTTCTTTTTCTCTTTGGTAAACTGAAGAGATGTGACAGGGAAGAACCCCCTAAGATCAAGCACAAAAGGAAAATAGATGGGGGATACTGCTGACCTGAACCTGATTTCAGCAGCAGTTAACATGGTAGTTAATTCAATCCAAGCTATTTCTATTACATGTCTAATTATTTGCAAAGCTTTGGGGAGAGCACTCCACGGTAAAGCAAAGATACATCCATCTTTGCTTCAAGGAGCTTATAACCCAGTGTGACAAACAGGCATGTACATAGTTTAACTGTAAAGAACAACATGACAAAAGGTAGGGCATTTGCCTCTAGTAGATAGTTGATAAAATAATTAACTCATATTTTAAAAAAGCATTAACTTTTGTTGGAAGTTAAATTTAGGGTGATATGACATTGTGTGAGATAAACCATATTTCTGTTCCACACTGAGTAGCTATTCTGCCATGAACTCTGATAAAATGGAGTGGCAGTCAACTTAATTATAGATAGAAGTTATCTGGAGAAAGCTGATCAGCCTGCCTTTCTGAGGTACCTTCTCCGAATTTAACGCAGTTGGGAAAAACAGAAACATTTTTTTTGACCACTATGTGAAAACTTTAACTCCCCTACTTAGTTTCCAAAAAGCTAACAGAATAAAACCTCAGTTTACCTATCAATATTATGTCTCGAAATAAGATGGAACTCTTTCTCATCTGGAAGGAAGATATTAACAGTACCTGCCCTCCTAAAGTTGTTCTGAGGATTGAATGTGTTGTTTGTCTAAAATGCAACTGTACCTATATTCTTCTCTTTTCTCAGCTGAAGGACATATCAATACCCTGTTGTGGATCTGAATCTTATTCATCTTTAGGCTAGCGCAAATACGGCCCACAAAATACCATTTTCCCAGACAACCCAAGCCCTCACAATCACATTCTCCAGTGTCCTGAATCTCCCATAGGTGTCACTACAGAAAAAAACACTTACATTCAATAAAAGAAAAGACTTTTGATAATCATCCTCTTTAAATCAGGAACACTGGACCCAATGCCATCGAGGGCCCTGCTCTGGTCTGCCTCTGGCCATACCCCTCACCACAGAATGAGGAGTCTGTCAGGACAGAGGAGGATGTGCCCATTCAGGGCCTGTACTTCCCATCCACAGTACTCCCCAACAGAACTTTCTGCATGATGGAAATGCCCTCTTTCTGTGCTGTCCCATATGGCAGCCACTACGCCCATGTGGCTACTGAGCATTTGAAATATGCCTAATATGACTGAAGAGTTTTTAATTTTATTTAATCTGAATTAATGTAAATTTAAACTTAAAGAGCCACAGGAGATTAGTGTTCACAATACTGGCCACAGAGAATTATATGGTCGAGGCCATCTTGATTGCCAATCCATTATTCACTTCTTTGTTTTCATCTTCCCTGATGTTCATCACAGCTGGGCAACCACTTCTTCATGAAGTACTTGCTTCTTCTGACCTCTGGGGCACCATACTTCCCTGTTTTTCTGCCTGTATCTCTCCGGCAGTCTTCATAATCTTCTTTGTTGGCTCTACCCATTGTGCTCAAACTCTCAGTACTGAGATGCTTTAGGACTCAGTCCTGTACTCTCTACTCTAATTACTTTCCTAGGTAATCTCACATGTCAATACGTCATTCACTATGAAATCTCTATGTCCAAAGACAGATTCCCATAGCCAACAGTGTATTTGAAATCTTCACTTAGCATTTAAATGTAACAAATCCAGAGCAGCAGTCTTAATTTCTCACCTCTGCAAAAAGCCATCTCCTCTTACAATCTTCCCCCTGTCATTTTTGCATCAACACCTACCTAGTAATTCAAGACAAAACTAAGGGGCTAATCTTTGATTCATTTCTCTTTCCTCACTCCAAATCCAATTCATAAGTGAGAACTTTTAATTAAACTTCCAAATACACCCCATATTGGTTTACATTACTTCATCCCTAATATCACAAACCTAGTCCCAGTCACCATGATCTCTAGTCTTGATTTTTGCAGTGGCCTCCAGACCCATCTTCTGCATTCACACTTGCCCTCATCACCACCCAGTCTCTGCAACTGCTGATCAATGATGCAGATGTACTTTAAAACAGGTGGTCACACAAAAGTTTAGTGACAAGTGGTCATCTGAATCAAGATTTGAAATAAGAGAGGAAGGATCAAGCTTTGCTGATATCTAGGAAAAGAGAATTCTAGGAACAGAGAAAAGCAAGGACCACAAGCTATAAATGAAGAATAGCGCTAATTCAAAGGGAAATGGAAAGGTGCTGAAAGGTTTTTAAGCTTGGGAGAAAAACCTGGTACACAGAGAATACGTTGAAGGGAGTGACAGCAGAAGTTAGAGAAACCATTTAGGAGACAATTTGTGAAGTCTGAGCGAACAGTTAGGGAGATGGAGACTAATCCAGATAAAAGGCATTTTTAGAAGTTATGAACTGGATGTGGAATGTGAAGGAATGAGGAAGATCAAGGATAACTCCTATGATTTTGGCTTACAAAACTCGAGGAAGGTTGGTGTTACTTATTGAGTTATTTCAGGTACATTAAGGGATAGTTCTGATGGATGGTGGTGTTGGTGGTGGTAGTAGAGGTCAGAATCAAGGGACATGACAAGGGCAGGTACATCACAAAGGCAGTTTCCAAGAAGGGACAAAGGTCACCAGGTACCAGTCTATGGAAGTGTCACAAAGATGAAGGTCTGAAATTCTAGCCTTCACATGCCATGTATCCTCAATGGGAAATGGGAGGTTTGCCATTCTGACTATATAGTTAAATAGAAGAGCCAAACGGTTTCGTACATGAGCATGGAGTACAGATAATTTCTCTTAATTCTCTCCACTTACCTTTCAGGATATCCATTAATTCTGCATGAATCTGTGCTCAGTGATAGAAAATCTGTGCTCAGTAGAAACCAAATGACAAAATTAACTAGCAGCAATATGGCACACAGCTACAGCAGCTATTTTTGTGTAAGGTGAACAGCCATATCAGAAGATGGAAAAATAGGGGGGTAGGGTGAGGGAGAGCATCAGGAAGAATAGCTAGTGGATGCTGGGCCTAATACCTAGGTGATGGGCTGATCTGTGCAGCAAACCACCATGGTACACGTTAACCTATGTCACAAACCTGCACATCCTGCACATGCACCCCAGAACTTAAAAGTTGATGAAAAGAAAAAAGACAGGAAAACAAATCCATTGGATACTTCAAAATGCCAAAATGTAAAGAAAATAAAAGTATAGGCCAGGCACGGTGGCTCACGCCTGTAATCCCAGCACTTTTGGAGGCCGAGGCGAGCGGATCACCTGAGGTCCGGAGTTCAAGACCAGCCTGACCAACATGGAGAAACCCAGTCTCTACTAAAAATACAAACATTAGCTGGGCGTGGTGGCGCATGCCTGTAATCCCAGCTACTCCAGAGGCTGAGGCAGGAGAATGGCTTGGACC
Organism: Homo sapiens; assembly: GCF_000001405.40. Classification (NCBI taxonomy): domain Eukaryota; kingdom Metazoa; phylum Chordata; class Mammalia; order Primates; family Hominidae; genus Homo; species Homo sapiens. The sequence goes on from NC_000013.11 coordinate 73,886,916, forward strand.
CGGGAGGCGGAGGTTGCTGTGAGCTGAGATCCCGCCATTGTACTCCAGCCTGGGCAACAAGAGCGAAAATCCGTCTCAAAAAAAAAAAAAAAACAAGAAAAGAAAAGTATAACTTTTTTAGCATATCCAGCCAGAGCAAAACCACTCACTCACTAATTCAGATCTTGCACACTCATATGGTTCATCATCATCAGGGACACCAAAAATCTTCAAAAATAGAAATTGGTGATACATGTGCTACTGAACAAATATAACTGCCTAATTTTAATCTAGATAGTCTAATCTAAATAAATTGTCTAAAGTCATTCATAATAATAAAATTAATGTAGTAAAGATGGCAAAGAGAATTAAAAGATGATATGGTTTAGATATTTGTCCTGCCCAAATCTCATATTGAAATGCAATCCTCAATGTTAGAGCTAGGGCCTGGTGGGAGCTAACTGGATCATGGGGACAGATCCCTCATGGATGGCTTACTACCATGGTAACGAGTGTGTTCTTGCCATGAGTTCACAGGAGATCTGGTTACATAAAAGAGCTTGGCCCTTCCTCCTCTCTCTTGCTCCTGCTCACCCCATGTTAAACGGCTACTTCCCTTTGCCTTCCACCATTACTGTAAGGTTCCCAAGGCCCTCACCAGAAGCTGAGCAGATGTTGGTGCCATGCTTCTACCATGAGCCAATTAAACCTCTTTTCTTTATATTAATAGATTGCCCAGTCTCAGGTATTTCTTAATAGCAATGCAAAAAAAGCCTAATATAAAAGGTATCTTCATTTTTAAAAAGGTTCATTTTGTTCACATGGTTTTACAAAAAAAACACACAAATTATTCCTGTTCATCTGAAAGTACTTTAAAATCTTTGTAAATTCCAGAATAAGCATTTGTCTGATATTGGTCAAGTATTACCTCCATGAATTTAAAAAATGATTTCTGAAAACAGCTCTCTTAGGAAAACCAGTATAAAGGATTACATGACAGGAAGTGATTGAATACATAATAATATGATGCTCTTTTGTAAATCTGTTTTATTTATACAAAAGAAACACTGAATATTGATCATTGTATTTATGCGTCTGATTAAAAATTTCAGAATTTTTTTTTTTTGAGATGGAGTCTCACTCTGTTGCCCAGGCTGGAATGCAGTGGTACGATCTTGGCTTACTGCAACCTTTGCACCCTAGACTCAAGCGATCCTCCCACCTCAGCCTCCCAAGTAGCTGGGACCACAGACGTCAGTCACCAAGCCTAGCTAATCTTCTGTATTTTTTGCAGAGACAGGGTTTCGCCATGTTGTCCAGGCTGGTCGTGAACTCCTGAGCTCAAGTGATCTGCCTGCCCTAGCCTCCCAAATTGTTGCAATTACAGTCCTGAGCCACCGCGCCCGGCCACAAAAACTTTCTAATTTCTAAACAAAAATACTTCAGACTGAAATAACTTTAGGTTACTTCTAATATTTTTATTACAATAGTCCAGCTAAGTCATTAAGACTGTGTTTTGATTATGAATGCTTTTGGTGAAGAAATTAGATATTGCTGCTATTTAGAGCACTAAAGACAACTTGTAGCATGTATAATTCTGCCATTCATTGTTTCATAAAAACTTTTATCAGCAAAACAATATATTTTCTTCATCTTTCATCTGTGTTAGTTAAAAAGAGAAGGTTATTGTGCTTCAGTTTCTTAAAAACAATATGGTAAGTAATCATCCAAAAAAATAAGAAAAAGATATATGCACATATCTTATTGGGACTGTCACAAAAGAAACAACAATTTTACAGAAAATAAATGTTTTTATGCTTTATAAACCTTTCTTACAAGAATGTCATTTGAAAAGGAAGAAATCTCATCAGATTTTAAGGGAGCTGTGAATACTCAAAACTTGATTCTTTGCTCTATCTGCCGTGCTTCATGCTCTTCCTTTATTGTCAAAAAGCTTACCTATGGAGGCTCCACTGCATTTGGGAAAGTCACTTAAGTCACTCCACTGCATTTGGGAAAGTATGGTCAACAACTGAAATAGCAATAAAAATGCTAGAACTGTGTTCCTATAAATCTCCTACAGGATAGTAACCACACTGATTTTGTAAGCTAATGGGATTTTACAGATTATTTTAGATCCAGACTGATTTATGTAGACTTGCCAACATCTCTTGACATCTTTAGTCTTCTTCTGTTATAATTTCTGGTAGAATCCACGGGAGTGTGTGTGCCTCTCTCCTTTTAGAAGGGGATTGGAGAGTTGGGTAGAGACACAGAAAGCCAGAAAACATAGGCAGAAGATATATGTACATATAAGATATTTAACATTTATATACAAAATGTCTATATAAAATATGCATGCATGTATGTATATGTGTATGTGCATACATAGCGCCAATCTCCATTTTATCTATGTATATATTCCCTTTGCAGTGACTTATAGCACTAGGGTCTAAGTTCAAATTACACTAAGTAGTATTCATCATACTGTCTTTGAACACCTGGAGTAGGCACTTGCAGTAGTGTGTAATGTCTACAATGTGGGAATTATTACGCTCACTTTGCACATCAAGAAATGGGAAATCTAAGAGGTTAACTTTCTTTTAAAATATCTCACATAAATTTAGAATCTAGCCAATTATTCTTTTTCTCAATTACCAAGTACTGTGACTTTAATACCTGACTGCTAAGAAAACTCAATGATAAATGTGTGATGTAAACTAAAAAACTCATATTTTGAAGGACTACTTTTTACCCAAAAGGACCCAAGAGTATCATTACATTTTTGGCACATTTTATATATTTTTAAAGTATAAGCAAAGATAATGCAAAATAAAGGGCTAACAGAGTAAAAAATTTAGAAAAGTTGAACAAGCACAAAATAAAATTTTAAAATATTTAAGCAAAATGCCATTTGTTTAGAATATTACAAAATAAAAGGAACTAAATATAACCATGCTTTTCCAAACAGTAGGTGGTGAAGGTGTCTTTCTAATACAAAGTAGTTCTGCATTTTTAAATAAAAAAAGAACCTTAAAGCTGAATTTTGAAGCCTACTCTTCACAAAATGTCCTCTAAGTAATTATATGACTAAATTACAAATATTATAAAGCTATGATAATTTGATTTATGAGGCATATATTGACCTTAATCATATGTGAAAATAGAGAACACACAAGAACACCGTCTTTAAACATGCCCATAGTAGGAGCATATCTGGTCTTATTTGTAGTTTATTATTATCAGAGCAATAATTACTGATTTCCTCTGATTTTCTCCCACCCAACACTGTATTCCTTATTTTCTGCCTGACATAAATATCAAGGAGCATGGACTTTACAAGCTTTATTTTGGGCTATATTTCAAAAAATTATTACCAAAAATACCTCTTTCTTTCAAGTAATGAAAGTCAGCCTTAAAAAGTTTCTGTGTGTTTGTTTAAACTTTCTGACTAGAAACCCCACTCTTCCCATAAAAACAGCCAAAATAACAGACATTGATATCAGGATTATCCCACGAAAGAAATAATCCTTTTTATCTCACTGTTATTTTAAAAAATCACCTTACATACTTGTAAGTGGAGTTATTTTCATATAATTTTAAACGATAATGATTGGGGGAAATCATTTTAATTTTCTAGTGAAAGCTTTAAAAAATTAACAGACACTTAATTTAATGGATTTTACTATGTTGTTAAAGTTTATGCAAGGCCATTGGTTTAGACCAGCCTCCTGCACTAGGCCCCAGCAGACTAGACCAAATCAGAATGGAGTCACCTACACTAAGTAACATAATCAAACCTATCTTGAAAGAGATAAGTTTAAAAAAAAAAAATAAAAGATTCCAGTCAATCTGAGTCTGGGTAATAAGTCTCCTCTCTTTTAACCCTATAAGGAAAGTAAATTTGAAACGACCAACCCACTCTTGGTTCTGTTTCTGCTTTCCTTAGTCCTTTTCTGCCTAGAAAGCCAACTACCTCTCTTAGTTCACTGGAGCCCTTGTGGTATTTTAAAGAATAAGGTATTGGCATTCTAAAATTGCAAATAAAAGACAAATTGATCTTCAAATTTTGCCTTTTGAAAATGGTTTCTCCTTAAAGAACAAATGTAGAAGAAACCAGTCATTTTACACCTTTAAATACTATGCAATGTTGAAGATTAAAAAAAATACAACTTCTTTTCACCTTAATAAGACTAAAGACACAAAGGATAAAAATAAATATTTTCAAAAGGAAGCAGAAAGCAGAAAATATTGTTCTGGAACAGTCTAACATTAGAAGTAATGCACATATACATATTTTTTCATGAGTATGGGTAAGTCAGCAAAGATTTTAAAAATAAACTTCAGCCAGAAAACATTTTTATATTAAAAGTCTAATGTTATTTAAAATATATTTTCACATATTTTAGAAAATGTAGATTTCTACTCATACCATTGCTATGCAGATAAAAATTCCACTTGTTTAGAATGACCCAGATTAAGAACCATCTCCTCTCCTCTCAACAAGTTGAATACATTAACATTGGGACAAATGAAGGTCACTATTCAGTGTTTTAATATTGATATATTTAGTAACTCAAACACCTCTGCCTTAAAAAGAATGTTAAAAATGAAATGAAGGTCCAGAAATACAGTTTTCAAGAATCATGGAAAACAACAAGTTCTGGACAAGCACACTTTCAAAATAATTGTAATCAAGACTGGTTTGGGAAGAAAACATTGCTAAGCTAATTGTGCATTTTCTTGCCTTCTTAACAAAAATGGAGATACTATCAACTCTTTCTGGGTAGGTATACTGTTTATATACCTCAATTTTTGTCTTCTTCTAAAGATACAGTTGGTGCTGCATATGCAGATGACAAGAACAGAAATTGGTAAACTACAGTTTTCCTATAACTTTTATTTCTAAAGAAGTTTCTGTTGACAGTTTGCATCTTTGGATGACTTATCTTTATGAGTAAAGCAGAAAAATGTACAAACTTGTAAATAATATAATTATCTCCGAACAAAAAGTAACATTGTATCAAAAGCCAAAGTAATAATCTCCCAAGAGGTCACCAACCTTCCAGAAAACTGCTTCATCACTACTGCTGTAAATGATTGACTTGTCTATAGCATTCATTGACAATATTTTTTTTTTTCTGTGTTACTACAAGTAGCTCCTTCACAGCAAGTATTTATCCTGGGGCCCAGTTTGTTGTTTTAATGGTATTAACTTATGAATTTCAAGACTCTAGATTTGGGCATTTTAAGAAGGCCTTTTTAAAAATCTACAAATTCTTCTTCATCATCAGAAATCTCTCCTGAACTATTGTATAATCTGAATGGTACTCTGGAATAACAAATGAAAATAATGGGACAACAATGGAAGGCAAAGAGAGTAAAACTAATAAGAAATAGTGATCTCACTTTTTTAGGATGAATTCTAAACTCCTAGAGCAGTAGAACAGCATTACTGTTCTCAAGAAATAAAACTGACGTTGAAAAGAACTTTTAGTAAAGATTCTTAAAAACGCTAGAATCAAATGTCCACATATATATTCATTTGTATTTGAAAGGTATAGACATTTTACCACCACTAAGACTTTATCTACTCTAGCAGGTATTTAAGTAAAATAGGAACGTATAAAAACCATGGCCAAAACAAACAAACAAAAAACAGTTAAACTCTTATTTTGCTTAAGGTTGACATCTGCTAGTATAGAAATCTAATGGCCATCAATAAGGAATCTGACAAACTAGTATCCATACAACAGAGTACTATACAGCTATTAAAAAGAATGGCATAGAGTTATGGATTGCTAGAGAAAGACATCTAAGTTATTCTTTTTAGTAAATAAAGAAACTGAAAGACAGTTTTTGCACAGCAACATGCAATTTGTGTATTCGTAGTATATGCACAGACCACTGTCTCAGTTACAATAAACCATTTACTTTGCTTATATTTGTGGGAATAGAGGTGGGTAGGGTGAAGCTACTACTCTTTAACCATAACTTACTTAAAATTTTTCTTACCACAATAATACATTGCTTTTGTTATAATAAAAAGAAATAACATAAATCAGCACTCTTATGGAAATGTAAATGTGTTCAGATAATACACTATGTTCAGAGGCAAGAGCTTTGAAAGAGAAAAAAAAAAAAACCCTTTTCTTATTTCCTATTCTGCTGACTGATTATCAGCCCCCAAAGCAGGCTTTCTAACATCTTATTTTGAAAAGGCACTCTTTCAAAAAAATCCTTGCCCCACACCTCCGCAATGCTTTTCCAATTAGCACTGGGTCAGAGAGAGGGGCACCTTCAAATCTCTTTTCTAATGACTAAATAAACACAATCCATGTGATCTAATTTAATTATGTGTATGGTGTGGCTCTTCTCATTAGGTTTAGTTGACTCAATTTCTGCCAGTAATTTGATCAGTTCATTTTTTTTTCAGTCTCATTGTTTTAGAATGCACTCAATCAACAATATTGACTTTTTTTTTTTTTTTTTTTTTTTTGAGACAGAGCCTCAGCCTCACTCTTTCGCCCAGGCTAGAGTGCAGTGGCGCGATCTCCACTTACCACAACCTCCGCCTCCCAGGTTCAAGTGATTCTCCTGCCTCAGCCTCCCAAGTAGCTAGGACTATAGGAGCGCGCTGCTATACCTGGCTAATTTTTGTATTTTTGGTAGAGAAGGGGTTTCACCATGTTGGCCAGGCTGGTCTTAAACTCCTGACCTCAGGTGATCTGCTCGAGTTGACCTCCCAAAGTGCTGGGATTACAGGCGTGAGCCACCATGCCCAGCCTAATATTGATTGTTTACTGTGTGCCAGATATTGTTCTATACAGATTTTTTTAAATAAATAAAAACATAAATGTGCTTGTATAATTCACCATCCAGTCAAGAAACAGGTGCTGTGCTGGGTAGGTAAGTAGAGGAAATTTAATGCAGACGGCAATAGAGCACAGCAGTCAAAACGGAAACAGGGAAGAAGCCAAGATTAGCAAGAGCAAATCCAAAAAGCCACTTTCATCCCTAGAACTAGAAAGACCAAAGGAAGAGACAATGTTATCAGAATTCAGGGCTGGCTCCATCAGAAAGGAACTAGAACAACAAGGGCTCTTAGGAGCTGGCTAACGAGCAAGTAACTACTGCCAAAAAAGGCTGCCCGAGTTAGTGAGAGACAGGGGAAGATGGGTCCTGGATGCCCCACTCCTTTAGCCTTTGTAGTTGTCTGTCAATGCCTTCCATTGGCTGAACCTACTTGGAGGCAAGTGAGCAAGCAGACGGGACATAGTTTGCAGAGGGGCAGGAAACAGATAAAGCAAGGAGACGTTTAGACTTCAGTAATGATTAGCATTTAAGCTACTCAAAATCTATAAAACTTTTCGCTCTCAAGATGTCTACAAACCATGCACACCAATGTATATGGGTACATATACTTGGGACACCACATTCACAATGAAATGATGCCCTGTAAGTAAGATACAGAGTGTCATCTTTTGAGCCTGCAGGGATCTAAGAGAGTCTCCTAATCTCCCACCAATATCATCTACTTTTTTATTCTTTTAAAAATTTCTCTCCAGGTAATTCATAAGAGGTTGTCACCATGAATGCCATTATATTTTTAATTTAGTTACTGATGGAGCATAGATAATATTATTTACTTTAGCACGCCCACTCTACTAAACTCATCATTTAACTTAATCACTTTTTTCTCTCATTTGAGGTATTCAATCAATTTCTCTTAAGCTAATAAAATGTTCATTTCATTTTATTTAGTACTTTTTGTATCGCATATACACACTGAATAGGCTTTTCTAAAACAAAACAATAATAATGATTGTGCTAGGAGGTTGTTGGCTTATCTTCTGATTTTAATGAAAATTCTTTTGACTTTTTCCATTAAATATACTGTTGACTATGGGAAAAAATACCCAATCCGCTTTTAAATAAGTTCTATTTTTTAGTATTTTTATAAGGAATAGCTGTTGAATTTTGTCAAATGTCAAAATTTAGTGAGAGGATTATAGAGTAATAGTTCTTATTTATCAACGGATTTCCTTTTGATTCCTTCTTCTATCTCTGTTTTCTCTTAATCCTCCTATATTTCTTGGCTTATGTGGAAAATGTCTTGGCATTATATAATAAAGCCAGCCAACAAACGTATTTCTTTCTTTCTTGCTGGGTATTTCCATTTATGAACCACATAATTACAATCTGACTTGAATCTGTGGTTTCCCCAACACACCCCCTGTAGATTCATCATTGCTGGATAAATAAGTTGCTTTTTTGCTGCCAAATCTATGTTTTTAATTCAGTTTCTAGATTCAGAGCTGTTCTAGGTGGCTGAGGTTATTGTCTAACTTCTGAGTGACAGAAGATTTGTATAGATACATGAGATCCTAGAACGGCTCCCTTGGAACACTTTTGCTCTCACATGGTGAAACCACAGTTAAGTAGTTTTTCCAATGGTGTGCTTTAGTCTCTAGTCGTCTTAAGGATAAGATCTCACCCTGACAACCAGGCAACACTGTTCACATCACATAATTCTCTTGTGTACTTGGTTTGGGTGATGGAATTTTTCATATATGAAATTATATTTAAGACCTGAAACATTAGAAAAGTAAAATAGGTGCTCTGATCTATGCCAGTCCTCGTATCTTTATAGTGGGTGGTTAGTAATGTTGACATTGAAGACAAGGGTTACAGGGTGAATTATGAACCATATATAAAATAAAGAGTGGGCGGCACTACACAGGGCACAGGAGGAAGGTCAAGGATACATCAGGGAGAAATGAGTGACAGGGAGCAATAAAAGGCTGACCTGACTGAGATGGAGGGAATGGACAATAGGTAGTTTGATATTAGATTAACAAGTTTTGCAGACCTAAATCAGAATTTTGATTATAACCAATATTGCAATGAGAAATCACCATGGAATTCTTTTTTTTTTTTTTTTGAGACAGAATCTCGCTCTGTCACACAGGCTGGAGTGCAGTGGAGTGATCTGGGCTCACCGCAACCTTCGCCTTCTGGATTCAAGTGATTCTCCTACCTCAGCCTCCCTTGTAGCTGGGACTACAGCCGCGTGCCACCACGCCTGACTAATTTTTGTATTTTTTAGTAGAGAGAGGGTTTCACCATGTTGGCCAGGCTGGTCTTGAACTCTGACCTCAGGAGATCCACCCACCTTGGCCTCCTAAAGTTCTGGGATAGAAATCACCACAGAATTCTATAAATGGGAAGAATACAAAGTGATGCAACAGAAGATGGGGTTTTGAGAAATCAGGTCCCAAGTATACTTCACATTCAAAAGAAGATACTAAAATCAAAAATAGTTGCTATAAGGCAAAACATGCTGGCTCTTTCATGTTCATGATGACTCAGATAGTAGATTATATTGAACAGTTAGTTGCCAATTAACTAGCTTTAAAATTTTGGATGAGAAACAGTTTCTAATGAAATTAAACTGTCACACTGAGAATGAGATTTTTTTCAAAAGCAATGGAAATGTAGGGGACTTTCTGAATGTCTATGTGCCAAGCAATACGCATTCTGAGGATGATGGATGAACCCTGCTACAGTGTCAGGGAGCCTCCAAGTCTCTGACTGAGACATTACAAAAAGCTGACAGTAAAAATGTGGTATATTCAGCTTTATCTATGAAGGAATTGTTAATAGAGAAATCATTAGAGCAGCATAGTGAGGTGTGATAAGAGTTTACATCCCCATCTAATTCATTTCTTCTTTGAAGCATTTTTAATATGTAATAAAATTTCTCTGAATCTAGGCTCTCTTCAGAATTAGCAATTCTCTTCACATTTTGTTATTTAACCTAAAACCTAAAAACTCTTTTTGCCCATGGAGATTCATTAAATCCATACATTTGGGCCCTAAATGATAGACTCACTTTTTTCTTTTCTATACTACAAAGCCATATAATACAATGGCTTTCTTGGTTCTCTCCAAGAAAATGATAGAGATGAGTATTTGGAACGTTGAAGACTTTCCTTTTATTAGTTCTGTGTTTTATTATCCTAAAATTCTAAACTCATAAAAAGTTCCTTTCCTGGGCAAAGTCTTTGTCATATTTTATATCTGGTTTCAAGAGGCAACAGGCCGGCAAAACTAATGGTGACTTTCAGATCTAGCAAGTCTATCTTTGGTTTGGGGGTCACATTTACATACACCCATACTTAAGCTCTAAATTTGTTTCCCATGGCAAAAATGACCTTATCATTTCTGAGTTATAGTGGAAGGAGGGAATATCAAATTTACAGCATATTGAAAACAGTTAATAAATCCCTCTGATGAAAAATTTAAAAAAAAATCTGCCTCAAATGAAAACAGTTCACTTTGCTAACCAAAACACACTACAGCTCAGTATGAGTGCTGTTTCCTTATTTTTATTTTGAATGAACTAACAGCTTTGGTAATAAATTCAGCTTCCCAAGCGCAACATGCATCTACAGGCCAGACATCTTCTGATTTGTCAAATCTCTATTTGACATATCCATGTTTACGACCCTTGGGCCCTTTGGATCCCACTCAGGTGGAACTAAATCCATCAGCTCCCCCATCCGAATCAGGTATTCCTCCAGGGCTCTCTATTCCAGTATAGACCAATACCAAACGACGTGGCATTCCAGAACAGAAACTCCTGCCTCATTCATGTCTCCTCCTTTTTCAACCCCCAAATTCTGTCAGTCTTTAAATGTTGGCTATTTCATACCCCAAATTGCTCTCTAATTTATCTATTTCTCTTCACACCTGTTACACATCCCTATTCTAAGCCACCATCATATATCACACCTGGATTAATGCAATAGCTTCTTAACTGATCTTCCAGGATTCCTTCTGCTTCTTCAATCTATTATCTCCCAATAACTATCTACTTATCAGCAATCTTTCTAAAATACAAATCTAATGATGCAATGCCTCTATTAAAAAATGTTTTGGTTGTTCTCCAATTATTTTAGCATCACTTTCAAACTTGTCTCATAATGTGGTTTCTGTTTATTCCTCTAAAATCAATAAGCCCACTCCTATGAGCCCCTACTTGCCCTATTAGTTTCAGATATTCTGAACTTTAAGTTCTTCAAGATTCTACATTCTCTGTTCATGCAGGGGTCCTTGTAAAGATAGTTCCTGCCAGGGTACGCTCTTCTCCCTCACTACACTCACCTGCCTAACTCCTGCTTCTCCTTCAGGCATCTACATAGATTTCACTTCCTCTAGGAGAGATTACTTACCTCCAAAACCTGAAGTATTCAGCCCTTCTTAATATATATTTCCTATGACAGCATTTCTTTTCATCTTACCAAAAATCTTTCTCCCTTTTGTATGATCTGTGCCTGTGACAAAATAAACTCCTAACAAAAAATTCAAGGGTAATTAACCGATGTTAAACAATGATTATCAGGTCAATAATCTTCAGATACAAAGGACAACATTCTCTCTCTCATTTTCTTAAAGAAAACCTTATTACAGGATACTTGTAGAATGTTTCCTATTAAATTTGCCCACTAATCCAAAGCTGAAGACAGAGATAACCACTTCCTATTTAATGACAGTCATAAATATCTAGGGCCAGACAATTCCCTCAGGGCTTTTTAAGATGTGGCTAAAAAAGCTCTCCTACTTACAACCTTCATCCAAGCCTGGCCCACTTATTAAGTCCATAATGAAAAAACTGGAGAGAAAAAAGAGTGAATCATGGAGTCATGTGTCCTCTGTCTGGGATGACAGGGTGGGGAAAGGAGGTGGACAAGGAGGGGCTTACCCTAACCAAAGGTAAATGGATAGGTCCCAATAGAATCTCTCATAAAAATGACAGTACGCCCAAGAAAGGGTAACTTACTATCTCAGTCCTTGACTGGACACACATTTACACAATACTCCTTATTGATTATCCTTCCATTTATCCAAAAATGAGAAAAAAGAAATTACAGACCAACAGGTAATGAAGGATGGACGGGTGAGGACACAGCCCACACTCCCTCCTTACGGCATTACAATGGTGTGAGAGTCCCATGGATTAAGGGACACTGCAGAGGAAGCTGGCTTGTACCCTACAAAAGTTATCCAGCCATGCCAGGCAACTGCAGCAGAAAGAGGCAATGAAGTGTGATTCTGGTGGCAACAGTGGAGGAAGATGGGGTAAACAAAAGTCATGCCATCACCAGATGTCTGACATCAGGGAATGGATGCTGCCCAGGAGGCCCCCCAGTTGGGGCCACCCCCCAGGAAGGGGGCTGGAGTCATGGCCACTGGGAGACTGAACACAAACACAGCTGCCCTACTTTAAGAGGTCCTCTAAGAAGGTGGAATAAAAGCAAGCATGATCTATATGGGAAACACCACATCACTAAGGCCACCAGCAGCAAGAACGAGACCAAGCCGGACCAGACTATGAAGTGTATCTCATTGCTGCCTTCTCTCCCCATATCCGTCTGTTTCCACCTAATGGAAGGAGGGGAAGTAAGTGACTTGGAGGACAATAATCTCTCAACCCCAAAAAGCACACCCCAAGATGAGAAACAGAAAGCTGAATCTGAAAAAACAGAATATATATTCCCTCCCCTGAGCTATGTGGAAAAGCTTAAAGTTGGATATGAGGCTTTGTGATGGTTACTGGCTTAAGGAATATGCAGACAGCTGGTAAAAACATTTTTCTGGGTATAGCTATAGGGGTGTTTCCATGAAAGACTGACATTTGAATCAGTGGACTGAGAAGGAAGATCCGCACTTATCCAATGTAGGCAGGCACCATCCAATCAGCTGAGGGCCCAGACAGAACCAAAAGAGAGAGGAAAGGTAAATTTGCTCTGTCTTCTGAAACTGGGGCACCCTTCTTCTCCTGCTCCCAGATATCAGCACTCCAGGTTCTCTGGCCTTTGGAACTTGTACCCCAAACCCCCAAATTCCCTGGTTCTTGGGCTTTGGGACTTGGACTGACAGTTATACCACTAACTTACCTGGTTCTCCAGCTTGCAGACAGCCTACTATGAGACTTCACAGCCTCCATCATCACAGGAGCCAATTCCCCTAATAAAGTCTCCTCTCATATATGTTGTATCCTATCGGTTTTGATTCTTTAGAGAGCCCTAATGCAAACCTGAAGAGTGAAACTAAACTGAAAGTTTTTCGTTAAATAGACAAAAGTCACTAGTAAGTTATAGGAAATACTTGAGATGTCAATAAAGAAAAGGAAGATAGCCCTATCAGACTCATGAAAAGTATAAAATCACTTCACGTTTATATTAATACTTTAGCAAGTTCAGGTTATTCAATAATCTGACTGGAGATCCGGTCGTCATAAGGGATTTAGCATACAAGAAAATTAAATTATCCAAGGAAGACAATGATTTGCTAGAGTAGATGAGAGTTGGTATCTAATTAGACCTCCACATGTTAAAGAGAAAATTCATTTAAGCCATTTCATAATACTCAATATACAAAATCATTTTGTTGCAAACTACTTCCTTTAAAATAAATTTATTAATTGCTAGTCACAATAACTAGCAGTCACAAAACAGGTGTCCATAAAACATGAGAATACATCCTGAATCTTTTAATACATTTTTTCAGTACATTATAGCATAATTTTAAACATCAGTGAAATCAATTTATTCAGGACTCTACATATTATGGAATGATTACATGGTTTCCAAATATGCAATTTCATTATTTCTCATGAAAAATCCCATTAAGTACATAGAATAACTGTGAAACTCCTGTATTCTCTCATTTAAAAAAAAAAACTAATCGTGCATAGTAAAAAAATTGTTTCTCCAACACCACAATTGAAATTGCATTCTTGAAAGAAAGTGAATTCATTCTGCTGCCAAAATTAGTCAAATGTCTACATGTTTTTCCTTTAACAATAACACTGTATTGGCTCACTAGATGTATTCCTCATGACTATAAATGGAGGAAAACAATATACTCCTCCACACACATTCTCATCAGGGTTACATTTTTGTGGGCCCGTCTGCTTTAAATTTTACACCAAGAAAAATCTTGAAAGTTCTGAGTTCTAGTTTTAAAACCAGAAGATAAATTCTGAATCATAGACTGTTAGCCTTTGGAAACCACTTCCAGGGTAACTTAATTTCAAGACGATTTGATAGGAGTGTCTTTTTCTTTAAGAGAAATAGACCTCTGTAAACAGTCAGTGCATATACACTAAACTCATTTAACATACATGGGTCACTCTTAATTGTGTTTTTGTGTTGCTGTTTATGTTGTTTGTTCAAAAACTTCATCCACATTCAGCAAACATCCTACAATTAGCTACGACTTCACCTACAGAGACAAGTAGCACAATGTCAGGTTCCTAATATTCCTTTGAAATTTACTTCAAAGCTGGGCTAAACAAATCAGTCAGAAAGCTTCAGCCAAGTAGTCCACCCACATTCAACCTTTTTCTACCTAATGATAATTACAGTCTGTAGAACAGGCAGTCTCTAATAAACAGCATCAACTTTAGAACACAGATGTCTGGAGGGGCCTTTTTGTTGCCATAGAAATATCTTCAGTCCACCTTGTCCTCAGCACTAAACATTATCTTTACATTAGCCTCCTATTAAGGGTGTGTGTGTATGTGTGTTGGGCTAGATTGGAGGTATATATTAGCCCAAATTATAGGATTGCTCACTCTGTCCTGATGGTTATAAATGATTGTGGTCCTTCATTCTAAAAAAAAAAATCCCCAAAATGGAGCACACAAATCTTCCTGGTGACAGCAGCCCCTGACTAATAGGTTCTTGCTCCCTTGGCTCAACTGAAAACTTCCCTAATGCAGCAAAGCAATAAAGATCAGCAAAGAATTCTCTATGTTCCTTCTCTCCATTCTAAGCTCCGGAGGTCAGTGGCTTTCTAAAGTAAAGGTATCATCCACAGTTGTAAAACAGGAAAATAAATCTCATTATATCAACCCAAACATGAATGTAATTTGAGAGTCATTAATTGAGGGTAGGGATCTAAGGGACTGTAATCCTGTTTTATGATTATCTTAAAGGTTGTTTTTAAAAGAATCAGATGAACTTCCCTGAAGCATACAAATGGCTTAAAACTACAAATTCATTTTACATAGCCATAAATACTTTTAGTGGAAATATTATACAGTTTGAGACTATAGGTACAAAATAGAACTGATTCACCTATAATGCTTATAGTTTAATGTGCTGATTTTAAAGGCCATTTAAACAGAAAATCTTAACATGCATAAAGATAATTTAAAAAGGAAAAGAACAAAAGTGTAATTACTTGGACTTTTATTATCCCAAAATACATACGGTGTGTCAGAGATTAAGTAAGGACAGAAAGACTGAAGAACAG
This sequence comes from Homo sapiens, assembly GCF_000001405.40. Taxonomy (NCBI): domain Eukaryota; kingdom Metazoa; phylum Chordata; class Mammalia; order Primates; family Hominidae; genus Homo; species Homo sapiens. Next base: position 73,902,222 of record NC_000013.11, read on the forward strand.
TTTTAGAAGGGTAAGAGATTCAGAAACTGTACAGGAGAGTATAAAAAATGTTTTAATGCTCAACTATTTTGAGGCAGGCATTATATTTCTCAGTCATTTTACACACCTAATTTGTTTAATTCAAAAATGCCAGACATTGCAATTGGCCTTTTGACATAGGTTATCTCAACTATTTTTTAAAAACCATCATGGGAGGAAGTGGCATTAGAATATCATTTCCATTTTTATAGAAGCGGATACCAAGCTTAGGAAGATTAAGTGACTTACCCAAGTTCACAGACGTGCTTACTGGGCTGCCAGGAAGTGAAAATGATTCTAATTCAATAGCTCTTTCCAGAACTGCATTACGGCATGACTTTAGGTGTTACTTTATTTAGGAGAATGGTCGCACTTACACAAAACATTCTAAAGTGTTCTTTAGACAAACTTTCTCAGCACACAGTAATAATTCACTGTTAAATCACAAATCTTTAATGTTCCCTCTATTCTTTTAATTTTCAAAGATAATCCCTAATTGTATAAGTACTAAATATCCCACTTCACTTTCAATGAGGTAACTCACTGAGGTGACTTTCAATGCAATGATTTAAAGTTCCGTGTTACTTTCAATAAGATGATTGTAACTAGGATTGCTGAAAGTTTAACACAAGGAGAAACCTAAAAAAAATTCTGTCCAGCAACATGACCCTGAGTTATTTGGTTAATGCCATTTCTTTTGGAGAACTGCTGAGACATCTATCTGTATATTCTCCATTAGTTTATCTAATAGGACACAGCTGGTTTATTCAGATCAGTTCTCCTGTATGTGGCACTGATAAATTATCTTTATAATTATTTTGACAAAAATGTTGGCCCACAAATCAAGACATTATATTTTTTCATCTGGGTTACCCCAAGTTTTCATGTAATATGATCTAACAAAAGATATCTTCTCACTTGGCTGGTGTCTAACTGATACATTAATTTTTTAAGCAATGCTGGTTTTTTTTAAAGGTCTGTTGTCTGTGTGGCATCTGTGTGTGCCAGAACATGCTGTGATAGTGATGAAGTGATCTTCATATCAAGAGATGGGCAATAAACACTAAAATTAACCACCGAGTCTAAAGTCTTATTAATTATGGCATTCCACAAACACATAAGGCTGTAAGTAAAACAGTACAAGGGAAATAAAAGGGAATGACAAATTTGATATAATATTTGGAAATATATTAAAAAGACAAAAACCTGGCTATCTTTTCAGGATATTCATTTTACTATGAAATTTAGTAGGATTTGTACCTAAAGCCGAATTCAAGAATAGAATTGTATACTTACTGGTAAATGTTTATTCACAAATCAAGTCATACAATTCTCAAAAGGTAGATCGCCTAAATTTTAACAATTGGGTGTGTGGGAAGGTTCATGCCCTAGAAGTATCACAATCTTCAACTACTCTTGAACTCAATCTACAACAGAATCAAGCTAAAGATACAATACTGCAGGGGTCCCCAATGGCCCATGGCCTGTTAGGAACCTCGTCGCACAGCAGGAGGCGAGTAGTGGGCCAGTGAGCCTTTCTGCCTGAGCTCCACCACCTGCCAGCTCAGCTGTGGCACTGGATTCTCATAGGAGCGGGAGCCCTACTGTAACTGTGCATGTGAGGGATCTAGGTTGCATGGTCCTTCCGATGATGTGAGGTGGAATAGTTTCATCCTGAAACCATCTTCCACTCCCACACCTTTGGTTCCATTCTCGGAAAAATTTCTTCCATAAAACTGGGCCCTGGTGCCAAAAAAGGTGATGACTGCTGCACTAGTGAACATGAGGCAGCAGTTGGCATCAAGGATGACCATAATCAGACATTTTTAAAGACAAATACAACATGGGCAATCAACAACCTTTGGGCAAACCTCTGGAAAGCAAGGCTAGCAATGGAGATATAACAGCTCAGAAATAGGCAATCGTGACTTTCAGATTTTAAAAAGTCACATTTAAAGGATTTACCTGTTAATTATAGCTATTAAGGATCCCCTAATAAAATCCACTACCCGACACGTCCTAGCACAAGTGCAACAAATTTGTTTTCTGGGATGTATAGGTTGATTCATGTAACAATCATTGCCCAAAAATCTTTTAAGTTCTGTTCCTTGGATGGTTTAATCTATCGTAAATGCAATTTTCATTGGAGAAGAGAGAATAATGTGCTATTTCTTATTTACCTACTTCACTAAGAGATGGAAAGACAGTTTCTCATGTTTTCTTTCTTTCCTTTTTTTTTTTTTTTTTTTTTTTACTAATTCAGTTCATTTAACTTTGCCTCCAGCAGCTCACCATAAAATTTGGGTCCAAAAAGGCCAAGGAATGTATTATCAGAAATGTTAGCTATCTCTAGGAAAATCTGTCATTCATTTAAGTGATAATCTTTAAAATTAGCATAACTATATTCTGGATCATTTTATTACGAGACTATCATGTGATTTCAATGTCTGAGTTTATTACCATTGTACGAGCAACATGCTAAGTTACAACTGTAACTCCCAGGGTTGGTTTAGCAGGAAAGTGATGGAGGCAGACTTAACAGTGATGCGTGTAGTTCAGCAAAGGCCAAATGACAGCACTGGGAGCCATAATGGTGGTTTCCTAGTAATTCAAACAGAGGAAAGTAGCAAGAATACACTGATCTCAGAATACCAGGCTTGTCAGACTAAAAAATCCTGTGCTTTAACAGTCAGTGGTTGACAGCAACTTATCCTAAGCAAAAAAAAAAAAAATCATCTAAAACAGATGTCATGGTAATTTCAATTTTATAGCTTTCTGAAGTGTTGATTCTATTTAATTTGCATGTTTGTTTTGTTTTCATGGCTGTATAAAGACCTATTACACAAGAGTTCAAAGCCTGTTTTTAACATATACTTAATCTCATGCAATATTATAAGCCAAAAAATTAAATATGATTTTAGAGGTATTCTATTCAAGATGATTTTTCCCCTTTAGAAGGACCTATTCATTACTCAAATTTAACCTGCAGTTTACCATTGCTTCTCTGTTATTCAGTCACCTATAACTTTCAAATTATTGTTTTACTTGTAAAAGGCTTTTAATCTTTCCTGCCAAGCTAAAATCTGAGACAGCGCTAACCTTTTTTATGTTCATGGGGCTCTGTTGAAATATGATATCATCATGGATAATCACTGCTAAATTAATCACCTAGGCAAGTAATAGTACAATAACTTTACAAATACACAATTCAGAGTGAACCCAACATATCTTAACCTAAGTCCAAGAATCTCCATGAACATTATTTCTTGTTCTCTTGCCATTGTTAATTTACGTTTTAAAAAAAATCAATTCCAGAATTTAATTCCCAATTACTTTAGTAACTTGAATTAATTTAGTAACTTCAGTAATCTGGATTTGTACTGTATTGTTCCCCTTATATCATTGCAGTACACACATAAAAGCAGATAACATGGTGAAATACTGCACTGAAAATAATCCTTTAACTCTGGATATATAATAAAATTTTGTTAATGTGCAATACATTTTTTTTTCACATGAAACATCCATCAGAAGTTTTTAAATGTTCATGAGGATGGCTTCTCTACTTGAAAGTTTCATTTCAAAATGCTATTATTCCTCCAAACTTAATTAACCTATCTAAAACCAAACAGATATCTTTTCCTCAAATTACTTCATTTCACCTTCCCAACTCTTCTCCATGCCTGTGTTGTAATCATAAAAACCTAGAATGCAAATGGCTGTTTGATTTCTTTTCCTTAATATCAGATCATTCATTTGATTACACTGGAGTTTGGTTTAATATGTGTATTGATTGCCTTTTCATCATTACTCCTGTATCATTCATCCAAGTCATCAACTCTCACCACAACGATTGTGACCAACTCTTAGCTGATGTCACCAACTCCAATTTTTTTAGTCCCCCAAATGCTCTAAAAGGAAAAAAATACTAAAATAGATTTTTTGACAGATACTCTAATATTCATATTTTTGTTTATCCTACTTGGGATACTTTGTACAACCTGAATCTTGGAATTTGCATGTTTTATTAGTTCATAAAATTCTTAGACAATATGCTTTCAAATATTGACTCTCCTTTTTCTCCTGTGGGAAGTCTGTTAATACAATCTATCATTTTACATTTCCATTTTCCTTTGTGTGCTGCCTTCTGGGTAATTCTTACATATATTTTCCAGTTTACTAATTCTCTTTAGCTGTGACTCACCTGCCTCTTAATCTATTCCATTTTTTTATTTCTACAATATTTCCCATTTTTAGAGGTTCCATGTGGTTCTTGTTCAGATCTTCCTGATTACTGTCAACAGTTTTTCATTACTTGCTCACTTTTGTGGTTCATCTTTTATTTCTTTAAATAAGTACATACAGCCACTCTATCTTCTATGTTTAATAACTCCAATATCTGTAACTCCTTAAGTGTTTAAATTCTCAGTTTCATTGCTTTGCCTAATTCTCACATATAATGTCCTACCTCCTCATCAAGTTGGTGAAAAATGATTGTGACCTGCCTGATCTTAGTCTGTTAAAATCCTGGAAACATACAATATGGATTCTAGCGAGGGGATTTCTGTCTGCTTCTTCTGAAAGTCAGGGTGCTACTGACTTGAAAACTGTTTAGCCCATCTCAAAAGGTCCTACTTTAATCTGGGTATCTCAGGTTCAAAACTTTCCTCCTTATTACTTGCCCAAATCTAGGTATTCAAATAGTGATGTTTATATACATTGGTCCTCAGAGCAATCACCATTACAGTTACCAGCTCTGATTAGGGCTCATCTGTTCTATTTTGGTAAGGGGGACAGTAGAAGCACATTTCTTCTAAGAGATTTTCCACTACTTAATCCCTGCCAGTATAACCCAAATTGTGTTTATCAAAGATATGGTTGTGAAAAGATACATCATTGAATGCAAAGTCCATATTATTTTCTCAGCAACATCAACCTGTTAGTCTCCATTATAAAATATATGATGGCTCTTTATTCATTGGAGCATATTAACCTCCCCTGCCTGTTGGTCAATAATCTGTTAATGTCTTATGTCTACCTATGGTGCCTCCAGAAGCCCCCTTCTTCCCTCACTGAGCCGGCCTCTTGATGGTTCCTCATGTTCAATACATATTCTGCCTCCATTCATACAGCATTCTCCACATTTAGACTATCCTATCCTCTTTGCTCTACTGATCTAAATTCTGCCTACTTTCAAAACCCAGCTCAGACCCACTTTCCTTCATGTAACTTTCCTAATTCCAACATTTATTTGTCCACTCTCCTCAGCTCTCAGTCTTCTAAGCTTAACACAAAATGATACTTAATTAAGAAATTCAAAAAACATGAAAGATCCTTATAGGCCACCTATTAATATTTCAGTCCCCAAATTCAAAATTAATCAAGACCCAGAGTAGTTAAGTAACTTGAAGAAGGTCATCCAGGTGTTAGATGGCACAGTTCATCCTGGCATCTGGTTCCACAATGTCAGTGCAGGGCTCATTTTAATTGATACTTCACTGGTCTTTCGACACTTCTGTTATCCCCTCTGAACATGATCTCTGCATTCAAGGCTTCCCCTCACAGTGAAAGCCTAAGTCATTACAACGACCCACATGATTGACCCTCTCCCTTCCTTCTAGCAAACACCAACCTCTCTGGCCACATCATCTCCCACATCTCTTCCCCTGGCTTTTCTGCCTCAGACACAATGCCTTTTTATTATTCCTCAAACACAGAAACACACTCCTCCTTCAGGTCTTTGTACTGGCTGCCCACTTGCCTGGAATGAGAATAGTCTAGATTAACTGCCTGACTTAGTCTACTGCATCTTTCAGGTCTTGGTTCAATGTCTACCTATTAGAAATAGGCCTGAGCATCTAATTAAAATATTAATGCTTCCGGCCAGGCGCAGTGACTCAGGCCTGTAATCCCAGCACTCTGGGAGGCCGAGGTGGGTGGATCACGAGTTCAGGAGATCGAGACCATCCTGGCTAACACGGTGAAACCCTGTTTCTACTAAAAATACAAAAATTAGCTGGGCATGGTAGTGCGTGCCTGTAGTCCCAAGCTACTCGGGAGGCTGAGGCGGGAGAATCGCTTGAACCCAGGAGGTGGAGGTTGCAGTGAGCCGAGACTGAACCACTGCACTCCAGCCTGGGTGACAGAGCGAGACTCTGTCTCAAAAAAAAAAAACAAACAAACAAAAAAATTAACCTTTCTGATTAATCTTTAACCCTCCTAAAGGTTTTCATTTTCTTTTTTTCTTTTGTTTTTTTTTGAGATGGAGTTTCGCTCCGTTGCCCAGGCTGGAGTGTGATGGCATGATCTCGGCTCACTGCAACCTCCACCTCCTGGGTTCAAGCGATTCTCCCACCTCAGCCTTCAGAGTAGCTGGGATTACAGGCACCCACCATCATGCCCGGTTAATATTTGTATTTTCGTAGAGACAGGGCTTCACCATATTGGCCAGGCTTGTATTGAACTCCTGACCTCAGGTGATCTGCCCGCCTAGGCCTCCCAAAGTGCTGGGATTACAGGCGTGAGCTACCGCGCCTGGCCGGTTTTCATTTTTCTTTACAGCACTCACCACTGATATTTAGTTGTTGATCTCTATGCTATCTGCCCCACTCCTCAAAGAAATAAGTTCATGATTGTCTATTTTATCCCTACTCCCTAAAACAGTGCCCAGTACATGGTAGAAGCACAATAAAATATTTGATGAATGAACAAATCAATGAATGACAACACGAGGTACAGTTACGTAATGCACAGTTGGCATTGTGGCAATGGCCAGAGTATAAAGACCATACAGAGATCGCCCTTCTCCAGTAGTGCTCACGGTACAGGAGAAAATGGACAACAATACGTACTTGCTGATCAACAGATGCAAGATTTATACATAAGATCTTTCAGATAATTACAAAATCTTTTGAAGGTGCACCTAAAAGATCACCTTCTAACCCTCCCAGCCCAAGGTATCCAAAGTAAAATTTGCAAAGTCTTCAACTAGGTTCCGTTTCCATACTACCAGTGGCCGAGCATAAAGCACTTGTCAGAAAGAGGACCTCATTTTTCAAACAATTTGACTAGTTAATAAGTTTTTGCTTCCTCATATATTCCAGTTTTGCCTCCGTATAACTTCCAAAGTTTGTACTAACTCTGCCTCCTGAAGTACACATGATGAAGCATACAACATCAACAATAAATCTTTCAAAAATCTGAAAATCTGTTGTCTTTTCACATATATGCCTGTTCCTCTGTGGACTAAATGCTTTTTGTTACTTCAATGATGCTTAATATGGGATGATTTTCAAATCCCTCACCATCCTGGCCACATATACCTAAACAGATTGCTCATTTTCAGAATAAAGTATGTTGCCCTCACAGGACAGACATAGCATTTCCAGCACAAAGTCAAGGGAATTTTAATAACTGTGATATCCAGACAGCCATTCATCAATCTACATATACCAGGCATCCACTAGGTCCCAACAAACTTACGTTTGTTTAAAAACAAAATTTTTATAGGCGCATTTAAATATCTATTAATCTTCTTGGTGTTAACTTCATTCAGTCCACACTTTTCCATTTTGTCCAAATAGCTTAAGGGAAACATCTTTAAATTCTTTGGTTTTTCTTGATCTACTATTCCAAGAATCCTCTCAATTTGGTTATTTTGTATATAATCACCCTGTACGTGTACATTTCTATATAATTTATAAATTTTCTAATTTTATACTTTCAAACGTTATTTTTTTTGGACACATTTAATGGCTCAGCAATGTGAGCAGAACAGAATTATTAGCCTCATTGATAAATTGATATGCAGGAGCTCATAGAGATTACAGCAAGTTAAATGTATAGCTGGAAATAAATTCCAAGCCTTTTGATTCTTCATTTGTACTAAGTCTCCTCCACTGGCCCACCTTCTGAGCAGGCTTTATTTTTTCAGAAATATTCATATTTGCTCCAAATTAACACAATCTATTTAATATTATTTTCCCCAGAAAAAGTTTGGAAATTTTAAAATTCTGTAGTGTTTGAAAGTCACATCTTTGCCCTATTTTGAAGGTGTAATATTTGATAGAACTAAAAGCAGGCTTAATCCTGCTTTTAGAACTCACGTGTTCTAGTACTCAAATGCCTAAATATATTTGGCAAAATTTTGTAATCAAGTCATAAATGTAACACTATATAATAATCTTAAACTACAGATTGTTCTGCAATTTGTCTTTATTAAAGCAACTTGAATCTTAGCCACAACATTTTTAGGTAGTGGAAATTGTGAACTATATAGCAATGAATTCAAACTCTTGACCCTTAAATAAAAAACTTTATAAGATAAATAGTTAAGAGGGGTAGGAGAGAGAGAATGGTTGTTATCATAGGATACAAAGTTTTAGATAACAGGAATAGGTTTTGAGATCTATGGCACAACAGGCTGACAATCATTAATAATAATGCACTGAATATTACCAAATAACCAGGGGTGCTATGGTTTGAATATTTGTCCCCTCCAAAACTCATGTTGAAATTTAATGCCCAATGTGGCTGTATTGAGAGGTAAGGGCTTTATGAAGTGGAATGGGTTAATCCATTCATAGATTAATTGAATAATTAATGAGTTATTAATGGGTTATCATGGAAGTGAAACTGGTAGCTTCATTAGAAGAGGAAGAGACACATGAGCTAGCAAACTCAGCCCCTTCACCATGTAACACTCTATGTCACCTGGGAACTCTGCAGAAAGTCCCCACCAGCAAGAAAGCCCTCAACAGATGTGGCCCCTTGACCTTGGACTTCTCAGCCTCCAAAACTGTAATAAATAAATTCCTTTTCTTTATAAATGAAGCAACAAAAAACAGACTAAGAGATTTATTATCAAATTTTTACCATGAAAAAAGATAAGCTAGGTGATTGATATATTAGTTTGACTTAGTCATTCTATACTGTGTGCACATCAGGACATCTCACTGGGCCCCATAAATGTATACAATTATTTGTCAAAAATATTAATAAAATTTTTAAAATAAATGAATAAAAATAAATAGTTAATAAGAGGCAAGAGCATAAGGTATGGTGTTAGATGAATGAAAATATTTATTCAAATTTCATGGCTATTAAAATTAAAAAGTTTCATTAGGAAGCTATTTCAACTTTGGTTCAGAAAATCAATATAAAATGACAAAGAAAGACCCAAGTCTAACACTATAAATTTAGTGGATATGCAGGATAATCTTTGAAGATGCTATTTAGCAAAATTCATGGCTTCAGTACTGCCCATGTACTCTGTAGATTAACAGATTAACAGCCAGACACATTCCTACAGTCAGGGACAGAGAAACAGAACAGTGGTTTAGAAGTTCACAGAAAGGTTCTTGAATAAATGCATATGCAGTGAATTTCTATGAACTTGAGAGTATTTATTTCCCTATTCTAACTGAAGAATTACAGATTTTTGAAGAGTACCTAGAATGTAATAAACACTATGTCAGAAGTTATAGAAATAAGAAAAATGTTCAGATAATAAGACAGTACAAACTAAAAGTTGCATTCTTTATGTACTGAATTATGGAAATGGATTTTGTCTTTGTGCCTTCATTCTACGTCTTTATTCCAAAGCAAATACCATATAACCTTTTCAATAAAACTCTGTCATGTAGGCCAGAGACTCTGCCATCAGCTCGTGTTTCTGTTCCTTTTATGTTTCTGTAGGATACAATGATTTAGAATAGGATGTGTCCAGGGCTTGCTTTTTTTGTTTTGTTGCAATAAGGACATTGCTGATGGTTTAACTACTGACTTCTCCTTCACAATAACTCCCAAAAGGTAGTTTCTAAAATAGTTTCCACACAGCTTCTCAGGAAAATGCTGCCCATTGTTTATTTAATGAGGGCTACTAGAGCTATAAATATTTAGTGTTCTTTTTCTCAGTTCATTATGTTCAAGTTTGCCTTTTCTTCTTCAATAGGCCATTAAAAAAATCACCACAGTTTATCAGCCCACAGGTGTGGGTTCCCACTGTGTGGCCTTCCTTTAAGCAACTCCCAGGGAAAAACATAAACTTAAACACTCTTTTGTGGATACTGTTTTGGGTTGAATTGTGTTCTCCAAAATGATATGTTGAAGTCCTAACCCTCAGTACCTCTGAATGTGATTTTATTTGGAATAAGGTCATTGCAAAGGTAATTAGTTAAGAAGAGGTCATACTGGAAGACGGTGGGCCCTGAATCCAATAAGACAGGTGTCCTTATAAGAACAGGAGAAGAAACACACAGAGACACACAAGGAGAAGCAGAGACAGAGATTGGAGTGACACATCTACAAACTAAGGGACACCAAAAATTGCTGGCGAACACCAGAAGCTAGAAGAGGCATGGAAGCTTCTCTCCTACAGGTTTCAGAGAGCCCATGTCCCTGTTGACATGATAACTGTGGACTTCCAGCCTTCAGAACTGTGAAAGAATAAATTTCTGTTCCTTTAAGACACCACGTTTGTGGTCATTTGTTAAGGCAGCTCTTAGGAAGCTTATACATAGGCTAACTCACACACCAGAGTTCTTTGTTAACTCTTTAAGCAACAACTTGGCTTTTTATCTCTTTTCAGGTTTTACATTCCTTCTACAATATTAAGCTCCTTCTTCTCCCCTCACTCACAGCATGAAGCTTTAGGCTTCATCCTCTGGCTTCTCCCTCTCTCTCTCTCTCATATCCTTCCCCTACTTCTCCATGTTATTATCTTTCATAACTTATCTCATGCGTTACCTTCTCCAAGAAACCTTCCCTTATTTCTGGCCAAGATGAGCACTGTGCTGAGCTGTTTTCCCCAAGCAGGGCACACATTTCTCCGACACGTATCTGTCTTCCCCACTAGAACACTAGCTCCTGAGGCACAGTGTTTCTGTTTCTCATCACTGTACCCTCAGGACTGAGCTCACTATCAGGCACACAGTGTTTGTTGCATAGACTACTTTTGTTTTGCATTTTCACACTTTCTTCTTCCCATAGTCTAGTCTCGCCTCTCCTTACACGTCACTTAGTCATCAGTTTGGTAGTCAGCAAGTCATTTTAGGGTTTCCTTCCTTGGAGAAAATCCTTCCACATGTAAATCTAGCAAAAACCAGCTGATGCAGCACTTGGGAGCCACAGTCCAGCTACAGGAACGAGGGCTAGTCCTCGGGTTTGCCATAATTTTAACCATCAACTGTAAATCACAGTGCACATTTCATTCAGCTTGATGGTGTGTGACAAGGCCAGAAGGAGAAGCATTTAGTGGATCTAAGCATGAATAAGAAAACTCTTTCCTTCCTACCAATACAATGACCAAGAGACTCCTCAGTCCTCTGTTACTCACAGAGTATACTGCTCCTCTCACATAGTGAGAAAGGGAGAACTGGACTGGATGGGCTAATAAATAAAATAAAGCTTTCATGTTGGCAATGACCAAAGTAACAAATTTAAACTTGGCAAAAAGACAGAAACCTTTTAATACCTTTAAAATAAAAAGATTTTTATTTTTAGAAAGCACTTTTTAAATATAAATTAATATCACCTTCATTATATTTTTATTTCAGCTTTTATTATTTGAAGTATAACACTTTTAAAACTGTACAAGTAGCATGGGCCAAATTTCTAAACATGGTGATACAAACATATTATAATTGCATCTGGAACAGCTTTATAAACATTTTTCTATTAAAAGAAAAGTTTTTTTTAAAAAGGAGGAGCAGAGTCAACTGTTTTATAAGAAATCATTTATACTGCATATCCATGAATTAAACAAATTTATTTTTAATCTTTGCTGGTCGCTGGCCAGCCCAGCTCTGAGTCTTTAAGCTGACTGGCTTATTCCTGCCAACATCAATAAATGTTCCCTGGCACCTTTGCCTTCCATCCTATACCCCAAACCACTTTGCTCTGACCTACCTTAAACCCTATTTTCTGACTTATTTCTGATATCTGCTCCTGATCCCTTGAATTTCCTTTTCCAGGTCCTTCTCTGGCACCCGGGTTTACCACCTCTGAGAGACCCACTCTCCCTATGTGGCTCACTCTGCTGTGAGTCTGGGCAGACATGAGAAGACCAACCCACTCGTCCCCTGGGACCCTAGGCTTGCTGCAGGCGTTCATCAGCAGGGGGTGGTTGTGCTTATTAAAGCCCCAAGAATTTCACCAAAGTGAGGCATTTTCACTAACTCCTACCTTGACTGTTCTGAGAATAGTACACATAGCAGGCACTCAAATAGATGTGGAGAGAGCCAAATAACTTTTTTTTCATTAAGAAACAAACATCTATAAAGTTACAGAAAAAAACAAATTCTCTGGCTGGCTTTTGATAATCAGTATGAGTTGCACGGGTGAAGCAAATTTAAACAAGGTTGGAGAACGCCTCTGTGAAGGACCTTCTTCCCCACAATCATTCTTCAACAGGAAAAAATGCAAGAGACAGCACACGGGGCTATTCTAGCACAGTCTCTTCCTTCAAGAGAGCTCTCATCTGTTACGTTAGCAAAAATATAGTTTCTTTAGTAAATGGTCTGGGTGGGGGGTGATGGGCAGGGGAACTATGTGTTTTCCATTTATGTTTTCATCTTTTTTTTTCCTTTTGGGATCCTACATTTCCCCTCTTGCTCGTTTTTGCTTTCATTGAAGAATTCCCAAAAGTAAGTTTTCCATTTTACATTCTGTATTAGTTTCCTAATGCTTATATAACAAATTACCACAAATGGAATGGCTTAAAACAACAGAAACTTATCCTATTTTAATTCTGGAAGCCTGAAGTCCAAAATAAGTCTTCTGGGGCTAGCAGGGAGGCATCTGCAGGGCTGGCTCTCTCTGTAGGATCCAGGTGAAAATCCATTCTTAGCCTCTCCCAGCTTCCAGTGGCTGCTGGTATTCCCTGGCTCCTGTCTGCGTCACTCCAATTTCTGTTCCATCCTCACACTGTCTTCTCTTCTGTAGCCAAATCTTTTCCTGCTTCCCTCTTACAAAGGCCCTTGGGATTTCACTTAGGGCCCGCCCAGATAATTCAGGATAATTTCTCTATCTCAAAATCCTCAACATAATTGCATCTGAAAAATTTCTTTTGCGGATGATAAGGTGACATGCACAGGTTCCAGAGATTAGGACATGGATATCTTTAGAGGTCACTATTCAGCCTCCCACAGCCTCATTTCCGTAGAAGTGTTGCCTTTCCAAGATTGCCTGCCTGCCTGCCTGAGCCCCACACACAAGACGTTACACCCTTTCCCTGCAGTCGCTGCTCTGATATACCCAGGCTTCTTTTTCAGTTTTGTTTCTTTTTTTTTTTGAGATGGAGTCTCGCTCTGTCGCCCAGGCTGGAGTGCAGTGGCACGATCTTGGCTCACTGCAAGCTCCACCTCCCAGGTTCATGCCATTCTCCTGCCTCAGCCTCCCAAGTAGCTGGGACTACAGGCACCTGCCACCACGCCCAGCTAATTTTTTTGTATTTTTTTTTTTTTTTTTTTTTTTTAGTAGAGACTAGGTTTCGCCGTGTTAGCCAGGATGGTCTTGATCTCCTGACCTCGTGATCCACCCGTCTTGGCCTCCTAAAGTGCTGGGATTACAGGCGTGAGCCACGGCGCCTGGCCTTTTTCAGTATTTTTGAATTTAGGATTGACTTTCTCTCTTGATGGTGGATTTCAGCTCAATTACATCTTCTCTTTTCCATGCAATTTTTCTAAAAACTCAGCTCTCCACAAAGACTTGAGAAGGAAACTTGAGAAATCTCTTTTCCAGAAGTTAGTGTTTACCTTTCTACTTATGGAGAGTTTAAAATTTGTAGTGTTCTCTGTCTTCCTCTCATGCCAAAAACATGGAGTTTTATGATTTTATCTGTTCTGTTCTTATTGATCTTGCATAGATTTTTAGAGGATTGGAATAATTTGGCTTTCATAATTAAAAAGCATAAATCCTGTATGAAACAGGCAAATAAACAGTACTCCAACTTGGGGAAGAGCTAATACTTACACACACACACACACACACACACACACACACGCACACGCACACACACACACACACACAGCTTTAAAGTGTTAATAATTTTACATAATCGCTGACACTTTGAATAGTTATTCATAGAAATAACAATTAATTAAAAGATACAGCTTTATTGAATTCCAGAACTGGGATAGAGCACAAGAACCAGAGCTATCAAACATCTAGTAAATATCTCTGCCTCACTATAGCAGAGGAGCCACGAGGTTATTTCTTCTGCAAGTATCTACCCCACAACACCCCAGAATCCTCAAAAGTAAAAAACTGAATGAAATTAATGTCATTATGTTGAATGTAGCACTTTTGGTACAATGCTTTATATAGCCAATATAAATAAACACTGTCAATGTCTTTGCCTCCTATTCTCTGCCTGTAAAACAGCAATCATAATATTTAAGTAAGAACCATCTGAGAAATGTTATGATGAATTAGCCAGAGTCTGTAAGTTACTTTGCAGTGAGGGCTTAAGTATGATCATTTAGGTTTGATGTATGGAGTGAGAAGGTAGAAGCTTTAGTGACAGACTGTAGTCACATAAATTAATATATTAATATTTAACAAAGAAATGGGAGATGAGGAATTGGGATGTCTGCATCTTCTACACTGTAAGTGCAAGGACTGACTTTGAGCTCCTGTAGTTATATAATTGTCCTTATTTGTTAACTTCATCTGTCCCCAATTAACAGGTAAAAAACATATTCAAAGCAGTAAATGGTGTCAGCGGTTATTTTGAAGGTAGGGACATGCACACTAATATTCCGTAGGCCACTCTTGTGCTCAACTAGGTCACAGAATGGCCATCTCTTTAAATCAAACTTTGCAGCTACTGTCCAAATTTGGACGAGCATCACCAAAAATTCACTATCCAAGGTTCAGCATGGATTATATACCAAGTGTCTGATTGGCCCTGCCTTAAAAGGAAACATTCCATTTTCTTAGTGTCCATTTTATCTGCTACAAAAATGATTACTTTATAAATGCTATAAAAAACTCAATACATAGCATTTGTACTAGGAGACAGGCACTTACTATACTAATAAATCTCAACACCTTTCCTGGTACTACCCCCTCTGCCTAGAGTGATTCCTCTCATATTTACACTAACCTTTCCAATGCCTAGATCAGTGGTCACCACCTTGGAGCCCTTCTACACCTTGTAAATCAGATATAATCACCCTATGCTTAGAAATCTATTATTTTTAAATACCTATGTTTTTGTACCCGCCCATACTGCTTATGACATACATATATGATGGCAACATAGAAGTATATTTAAGAGCCCAGCTTTTAGTTTATACTATGTACCAAGTTGGACTCTACCATTTATTTGTAGTTAACACCCTGACTGGCAGATCATTCTTAAGACTCAGTTTCTTCAAGGAAGAGAAAGATAGTAATAGTTAACCTCATAAGTTTGTCAGAAGAATTAAATACATGAAATACTAAATCTGGCAAACAGGCAATAAACAAACACTAGCTAATATTTTTATTCCTGCTACAAGTATCCTGCTTTGAGTGTAAACTCTTTGTATTGGAGATTACAGATTATGTATTTGGTGACCCCACAGCATCTAGGCCAATGTCTTGTACATAATAGGTATTCAGAAGGCATTTTAAAAATCAAACTAAGTAAAAAATTCTAAACAAACAATATTTGTTGGGCTTTTCTACTGTGAAGACACAGTGAGAAATGAAAAAAAAAAAATTCCTGACCTTTAGGTCATTAAATGCTTAATCTAGTTAAAAAGCTTAGTCTAGCTAAGGGGTAGTCTTTAAATGCTTAGTCTGGTTATATACACACGTACACATATATACAAACAAATATATACACCAACATCTACACACACACACACCATATACACACACACATATCTATGTATACAGAGAGAGAGAGAGAGATGTATTTTCCTGCCCACACTCACAAAACTAAGTGAAAAGAACCAAGGAACCAGCTCAAAAGGGAATGCAGACTTGGCAAACACAATTATAAGTAAAACTTAAAACATACTTTTTCTTTTTTTCCCCAAATATTCCTCCTTTTGTAACTCCTCTTCTTACTCCTACTCAAATCTTTGTTTCCATGGCAATATTTCTACCTTGAAGTTCCACCACTGAAATGTCTACAACTATGTCTACTGCTCTCTCTTTTAAATTGCTACTAGAAAATTCAATCCTCCAGTCCATGATGTAGATGGACTACATAAATGCCTACTAACTTAAGGCACATTTCTCACCTCATCCCCCAGTACTATACAAGATATTTTTTTTACACAGAACTATTTTAGGCCGATTTTTATACTTGATAAAAAATAAACTCCAAGAATTTCAGACTCTGTGATGTGAGCTAGATATAACCCAAACTCATTGAGACTCAAGCTCTTTACCCAATACAAAGACAACATTTAGAGAGCTACTTAACAATCAAAACTAGAAAATAAGAAAGGATGCCAGTAACAGAATTATCCAACAAGGACTTATTTCTTACCACCTGATCTTGAGTTTGGCTAGACACTGGATTTCTCCTGCCAGAACCCCAGAAGTGTTAAGAGAACCCTAACTGCTATTGTGAGGTTTGAACTGATGAACTCTAAACCGTGCTGCTATTAGACTCTTTAATGTTGCTCGGTTTACTCTTAATTCCTGTTTTGAGTTGTGCTGCCAAAGTTCTGAAGACCTGAAACATGTCATTACCTCTGAATTGAGTTAGTTTGACTACTCTGAAAACCAGTCTGATTCTGGAGAATCCCTGCCAAATGCCACAAGCTAAACGGGTACCCTGGAATCAAACTGTTGGTACTAACTCAAAGAGCACATCTGCTCCTGAGCTTCTGGGAACAAATGGGAGAACTTGTAACTACCCAGGAGCACTGTCCACATCCACAGAGGCCCCCAGATACTTAAAGATTATTTTTAGGAAATCTTGAAGTTCACAGAAAATTCATTGATTTAGTTCAGCTGTTCCTTCAAGAATTCTAACAAGGGAGCTCCTAAAGTGTCACCCAGGATTTACCATGAAAATTCCTAGAATGGTTATCCATAAGTTGAATCAATGCCCTAGAAAATTTGCTAACCCCATGACAGAGGAGTTCTGACTCCTATAACAAAACCTAACAGTAACTAATCCAAAACAACTGCCTTTTATGATGCTGCTAGACTGCACAGAGACAACCTGGATTTTCTCCATTAATCCTGCTGCTGATCTTGATACAGGAAAGAACACTGTCTTTCTCTAAATCCTAAATCTAGAATAGATAGAAAACAAAATGAATCCACAGTAATTTTTTTTAAAAAAAGGTCTAAATTCCCTCAACAATTAAGTCCAAATTAAAATTGGCTACATCACTGTACAGTTTGCCCTAACGGGTAAATAATGCTGTTTATTGTTGCATTTCACTCGTCTCCAATTCCCAACTATATCATTAACATTGCACGCCATATTGTTGTGAATCAATCCTCTAATTTCATTTGAATGCATCCAGAAATCTGGATATTGTAATCAATATATTACAAAAAGCAACATAACTTCATAAGGATTTGCAACATGTTCATTCCTCATGTGAGGTGTTCTAGTACATCAGGGTTGCCCTGCAACCCACTTGGAGATTATATCCTTAGATTCTGAACCCTTAACTGAGAAATATCGAAGCTTATTGCTACTATTATTTCTTTATTATAAATTTTTCTCCCCTGAATTTTCTCAACTTATAGAAAGGAAGTCCGGCCAGCAGCATTAGTTACCCCGCATTCCACTGAGAGAATTTGCTGTCGGGACATCCACTCCCTCTCCGTTCGGGTGCTCTACTGTTAGCATCTTTTCTCCTTCAAATTCAGAAAGATGCAAACTAGCTTGAAAAGCCTGTTCTAAACAATACTGCACAGCAGTGCCAATACTATGAGATGTAACTGGTGCTTGTGCATGCAAATTAATTTAAGTATAAACATACTTCATGTATAAATTACATGAATATGCACAAATATTACACATAAATATTTGTATTGTGTGTATATAAGTTTATATCTGCATAAACATACACATATGTATAACTATGTACATATATGCCTATGTGTGTGAAGCTTGGTTGTGTCTTCATACATTTTTTTTTAATGTATGTAAGCTAAGTGGAGATAAGTCATCTTATGGGCCAGGTACAAGGTCTTGCTCAAGAAAATACCAGCCCAGTATTTAAAAAATGATTTAACTGCTTAGTCAAGTCTTTCTCCAAAATTTAAAAACTAAAATGTGATTGTAACATACAAACTTTCAAAATCCCCTTTCTCTATTTTCCAAATCTGAAACACTTAGCAAATCCATCCCTCCTGTCCACAGAATTCTCTATCCAAACTTGCCAAACTTTTTGAGGCTCTTAGTTCCCCCATTCCCATCCCTAGGCACCCTTTCAAAGTTAATTTTTCTCCCATTTGGCAACAGTTCTCTGTCCTTTCCTAAAAGTTACGTCAAACACAATGGATTTCCTGCTTTTCACTTCTACCCCCTCCCTCAAGAGTCATCTCTCTCTCTCCTGTTGGGGTTCAGAAAATAATACCCCAAAGTATGGCTCTTTGACTTGCTGAGTATTTTGAACTAAAGCAGCAAGCCTCAGAACCAAGAGGTCTTTCTGCCCTGCTCCCACTACCAGGCTCTTACCCCTCTGCCTTCTCCAGAAGCACAGCGAGGGGCTTTCTTTGAGGTTCCCTTATCTGAGGAAAAGCAGTTCCTCCAGAATTAATGCAACATCTTGGGTCTCCTTCTAAAATCTCATCAAACAGAGATTAACTGATAGGAAAGGAGAGAGAGCAGACACCACACCCATAACTCAGACTTTGTCCCAAGCTACTTACTGTCTGTTTTTCAGGCCCACTCGTCTCCCCTAAAAATCATTCACTCTTCCTCTAAAATTGCCTACATCCCCCCACTTCCCTCCCTTCTATGAAGAGGGTATTTAAACTTCAACCATCTGGCCCCTCTTGATGTTTCATACTTGGTGTGATTCCTGTGTACTGACCCATAATCAACTTGTACACTTTTTCTCCTGTTAATCTGTTTACTGTCAGATTCTTTCATGTACTCAAGTTGCTGAACTTTCAGAAGGTGGAAGTAGAGTTCCTTTCACCCTTACACTCCCATTCTCCAGATTCTATATAACAAGGGCCTACAACACAAAAGCTGGCAGAAAGAAGAGGCTATAAATACTTATGTATTAATATTTTTTCTTGTCTTGTGCCTAACTCAATATTTTTTCATTATCTGTGTATACTGGAAAGTATACTCCTAAGCTTTGAGTTCACATAGGCACTTACATATTCCACAACTTAATCTCCCCAGCTGAAAATTCAGTTGTAAGAATCAAATGTAATGGTAAAATATGCAATAATACATATTAATGCAAAAATGTAATAATACATGTGTATATATGAGATATATACAAGATATATAATACATGTTAAATCTAATAATACATGTTGATAGTAATTCAAGTATGTTAAGAAGTGCCTCCCCTGGGGAATAAATAACACACATTTTAAAACCCATGCTTAACCCATATCTTTCTAGATACGTGTCTTTTGCAGTTATCTGCAGCTAACCCCTATACAGTGCCCTGAGGATGGAGGAAGTGTCCTCTTGATTTGTTAAAGTTTAAAAGAAATACTACACCACTATTATCACACCTAGAGATTACAAAGGAAAGAGGAGCTTTAGAATCTGTGGGCTTTCTATTATGTGGTTGCAGAATCAATAATTAGCATTATGTTTTTTAATTGTACACAATCTTTTAATTAAAAAAAGTCATGCTTTTCACAGTATGAAGAATCAGGATTTTCTACTATTGCATACAATTGTTTTGGTATCTAGTTTGCATTTAACTGAATTAATTTATTGTCTAGTTTCAATGAAACTATTTTCTATTTACACTGATATTACCTTCAAGGAGTAAAACCTTCATATTTTCTTTACACTGAAAATTACTTTATTCTTGCCCTTTGCCTTAAACATTTTACATATGAATTGCAGACCAAAGTGGCGTTTGCTTTTTCCCCCTTCAGTTGTCTATGTTAGACATTCTACAGATACTCCTGGTCATAAACAGATCATTCCTGTATTTCAGGTACAGCACAGGACTGAAGATGAGCTTAACATCTCAGCACCCATGGAAAAGACTGGCAAAATCAAGAAGCTGCACAGCCAAAGAGAAATTAGGAATTTGATTTTGGACTGGAGGAACAGCTGAGGGAGAACAGTGTGACATGAATCTTATGTGTAAGATTTTATACAATTTGTTTATTAATTTTGTTTTGTTGGGGGTGGGGAGGTATAATCTGTCTCTTCTTACAACCAGGAGAGAGGCAGATTCCTCTGATCATCCATGTCAGAGATAATGGAATGAGAATTCTCTGTACACTGTATCCCAGAAACACAGCATCTCTGACTTCTTGTCAGGCTCAATAAATTAAAAGACAGTGAACACTGACTGGGAGCACACTTTCTGCACTGTCCTAGGTATTGTGCAAGGCTTCAGCTAATCCAAAACCCTACATTCAAACTTGTAAAAACCAGACATTTCTTTTCAGATAATCAGAAAAATACATGCCAGAAAAATCATGCACTAGGGCTCCTGATTGGCCAGGTTAGCACAGACTGAATATTAACCCCCAGGCCTCCTCTGTAGGGTGGCTTTATGTGGTACTCAGCCAGGCACAGCAGCCCTGCCATCAGACCTTCCGCCACAAATTCGAAATCCAGCATCTCAGGTTCACTCCAATAGTGACTCTTATTCTGTACAAAAGATGTGGAATCTTTGGAGATGTCATTTAAATGCCAATTTTCATGCTTCCTCTTCAAAGTTATGGCACTTATAACATCAATATTTTAAACAGTTCAAGTATTTTTTTTATCTTCTAAATGAGTCATTCACTCTCTTAGCAGAGAAGAGGTAAAATAAAATGTCAATGACTAAAATGTGAACTACTGCTTCAAAGATAGAGTGAGTACATTTCTCATGATTCAATGGTAATTGGCTTGGAACTTGGAAATACAATGCTGCCTATGACAATGGAAATTCACTGGACTCTGCAGGAATTCAAAGGCTGCTGGAGAAAGTGTCCCAGTATTACCCATATCTCACTTACTATACTTCTTATAACTCAATTTCCTCCCAACTCTCACGGAGTTTTAAAGGAATCATTTGTGCCACTCAGAATGTATATGTATCTACTAAGCAATTTCAGCTACTAAAAATTTCTCAGACGTCTCCAGGCTGCAGCACCCCCTGGCTCCTCTAACAGGCTGTGCCCATCAGACAGGGCAGACATTCTGAGGGTCAGGGCAGTCACTTTTTAATTGTTCCATTCCAGAAGGGTGGGTCCTGTGATTTAGAAAGCAGCACCTTAGAAATCACAGTCCCCAGAAGCCCAATGAACCAGGGACCTTATTACCCTCATCTGTGTCAGCTGTTCTCAGATTGCTGTTAAGCATGAGAACCACCTGGGGAATCTGGTGAACACCCAGGGTGTTTTTCTTCTTCCCACAGATCCTGATTTGGTAGGTCTGGCGTGGGAACCCAGGATATTTTACAGTCATAGTCTGCAGACTACACTTTGAAGATAGTTGTATTCCATACACCAGGCTTCCGAGTTGTGAGGCAGACATATCTCAGACACTGATCATCAATACCATGCAGGCACACCTGCATTTTCTGGCTATCCACTGGAAATAATTATCAAATGATACTACATGTGGGTAAAACATGAATTTTTCACTTTTCTCTTGGGAAAAATGATGATCACAATACTTTTATTCCATCTTCTCAATGAACTGACACAAACATCATATGAAAAGGCAAAAGAAAGCACTCTGAAGCATGCAAAGCATATACACAGGTGTAAAGTAGGACTCAGGTAGAGCATGGCCAACTCTTTAAATTACAAAGTACATAACGAAGTATATTATCCTAAAATATGAATTATACAAGGCATTTTAAGTACAGGTAGATTTCATTTTATTGTGCTTTGCTTTATTGTGCTTCACATATACTGCCTTTTTAACAAATTTTAGGTTTAGGGCAACCCTGCATTTAGAAATCTATTGGTGCCACTTTTCCAACAGCATGTGCTCACTTTGTGTCTCTGTCTTACATTTTGGTTTAGTAATTCTCCCAATATTTCAAATGTTTTCATTATTATATTTGTTATGGCGAGTTGTGATCAGTGATCTTTGATGTAACTACAGTGATTTTTTGGGGTG
Organism: Homo sapiens; assembly: GCF_000001405.40. Lineage (NCBI taxonomy): Eukaryota > Metazoa > Chordata > Mammalia > Primates > Hominidae > Homo > Homo sapiens. The sequence continues at coordinate 73,924,480 of NC_000013.11, forward strand.
CCATGAACCCTGCCCATAGAAGACTATGAACTTAATAAATGTGTGTGTTTTGACTGCCCCACCCACCAGCCATTCCCCTATCTCTTTCCATCTCCTCCAGCCCCCTATTCCCTGAGACATTAAGTATTGAAATTAGGCCAAGTAACAACCCTACAATGGCTATAAGTGTTCAACTGAGAGGAAGGGTTCCATGTCTCTCACTTTAAATAGAAAGCTAGAAATGACTAAGTTTGGTGAGAAAGGCATGTTGAAAGCCAAAACAGGCTGAAACCTAGGCCTCTTAAACCAAATAGCCACACTGTGAATGAAAAGGTAAAGTTCCTGAAAGAAATTAAAAGTGCTACTCCAGTGAATATACAAATAAGAAAGTGAAACAACTTTATTGCTGATATGGAGTAAGTTTGAGTGGTCTCGACAGGTGATCAAACCAGCCACAACATTCCCTTGAGCCAAGGCCTAATCCAGAGCAAGTCTCCAACTTTCTTCCATTCTATGAGGCTGAGAGAGATGATAAGGCTACTGAAGAAAAGTCTGAAGCTAGCTCTAGAGCTTGGTTCATGAGGTTTAAGGACAGAAACTGTCTCTGTAACATAATAATACAAGATAAAGCAACAGCTGATGTAAAAGCTGTGGCAAGTTATCTGGAAGATTTAGTTAAGATCATTGATGAAGTTGAGAATATACATTAAACAACAGACTTTCAGTGTATACAGAACAACCTTGTATTGGAAAAAGATGGCATCTAGGACTTGCATAGCAAGAGAGGAGTCAATGCCTGGCTTCAAAGCACAGGCTGACTCTCTTGTTACAGGCTAATGTAGCTGGTGACTCTAAATTGAAGCCAGTGCACATTTACAACTCTGAAAATCCTAGGGTCCTTAAGAATGATGCTAAATCTACTGTCTGCTCTAGAAATGGAACAACAAAGCCTGGATGACAGTACATCTGTTAACAGCATGATTTACGGAGTATTTTAAGCTCACTATTAAGACCTACTATTCAGAACACAAGATTCCTTGCAAAATATTACTTTGACAATGTACCTAGTCACCCAAAAGCACTAACAGAGGTGTACAAGGAGATTAATATTATTTTCATATTTGCTAACACATCCATTCTGCAGCCCGTGGATAAGTAGTCATTTTGATTTTCAATTATTATTATTAAAGAAATATATTTCATACAGTTATAGCTGCCATAGATAATGATTACTTTGATGGACGTACACAAAGTAAATTGATAACTTTCTGGCAAGGATTCACTATTCTAGACACCCTAAGAACATCCTGTGATTCATGGGAGGAGGTCAAAGTATCAACATTAACACGAGTTTGGAATAAGTTGATTTCACCCACATGGATGACTTGGAGGTGTTTAAGACTTCAGCGGAGGAAGGAACTGCAGATGTGGTGGAAATAGCAAGAGAACTAGAACTAGAAGTAAAGCTTGAAGACATGATGGAATTGCTTCAATCTCAGATAAAATTTTCACAGATGAGGAGTCGCTTTTTCCAGATAAGCAAATGGTTTCTTTAGATGGAATCTACTCCAGGTAAAGATGCTGTCGACATTGTTGAAACAACAACAAAAGATTTAGAATACTTTATGAACGTAGTTGAGCATGCAGAGGCAGGGTTTGAGAGGACTGACTCCAATCATGAAAGCAGTTCCACCGTGGGTAAAACACTATCGAATAGCATTGCATGCTACAGAGAAATCTTTTATGAAAGAAGAGTCAACTGATGCAGTAAACTTCATTGTTTCATTTTAGGAAATTGCCACAGCCACCCCAACCTCAGCAACCACCACCTTGATCAGTCAGTGGCCATCAACACACAAGGCAGACCCTCCAGAAGCAAAAAGATGAAGATTTGCTGAAAGTCCAGATGATCGTTAGCATTTTTTAGCAATAAAGTCCTGTAAAATTAAGGTATATACATTGTTTTTAGATGTAATGGTCTTGCACACTTAATAGAATACAGTAGAGCATAAACATAAGTTTAATATGTACTAGGAAACAAAAAAAAATTGTGTGACTTGCTTAATTGCAATATTTGCTTTATTGTGGTGCTCTGGAACCAACTCTGCAATATCTCTGAGGTGTGTCTGTATCTTCAGGATATTTCTTCAATGCTCCTTTTCTCTCTCTCTCTTTTTTTTTTTTTTAACATAAATAAAGGAGAACCAAAGGTAGAACTTACTTTTCAGAACTAATCAAACTATATCACTCTAACACATGGTTTTTAGACACAGAATAAATGGTTCGGTTTTAAGCACACGTAGTTTCTCTGCGTGAATTACTCAAGTAATTGTGTCTCTGCAGATCAGGGTACATTCAGTGCATATCTGTAGAATTGTATCATTTCAGTAAAATGGAGAGTCTGCATAATCACATTCACCCCATTTTAGAAGACAACTGAGAACATGACAGAACAGCACTCAACTCCGTGTCTCCTTTGAAAAAAAAAAAAAAGTGCCAAGTTATCCCATGAATTCTTCCCAAAGTGTTAACATGGAATTGAAATAAAGTCATACGAAATAGCATAAAAAATGTGAAAGGGTGTCATGTATGAAACTCAAATGTCTTACCACTTAAAATATAACACAGCTTTTATGTGAACAAATACAATAATTCCCATTTTATCTAAATGAACTCTAGAACAGTTGAACAGGCTTGAAAATCCAGTACCACAGAAAGAAGTAAGGAGTTGCACCATTGAGAAGGTGAGAAAGGGAAGAAGACTAAGCAGCCAGCTAAAAGTGGGAGAGCCCAGAGGCTTCTCCCCTTGATCACTCCTCTCCTCCCCAAATCAATACTAACTCAGGATTCTTATTTTATATTACAAGTAACAGTTTTCTTGTACAAAGCAATGAGGAACGTACCCTCTCTTACTGGAAAACATCAGCTGTGGGGCAGTACCTTGGTACAGGATAAGCCCCATTCCCATCCGTGTTTTCCACACTATCTCCATCCAGCCCATAACACCCTTTCATCTTTTACCTCTTCTCCAAACCTTTACTAACAAGAGTCAGCTCTGTTTCCACCTCTAACATTAGGCCAGAACTTCCTTATACTAATATTAACATCTACCTCTTTATTTTATTTTTTATTTTTTGAGATCGAGTCTTGCTCTGTTGCCCAGGCTGGAGTGCAGTGGCGCGATCTCGGCTCACTGCAACCTCCACCTCCTGGAGTTCAAGCAATTCTCCTGCCTCAGCTTCCTGAGTAGCTGGGACTACAGGTGCGTGCCACCACACCCGGCTAAATTTTTTTTTTTTTTTTGTATTTTTAGTAAAGACAGGGTTTCACCGTTTTAGCCAGGATGGTCTTGATCTCCTGACCTCGTGATCCGCCTGCCTCGGCCTCCCAAAGTGCTGGGATCTCTTTTTTTTTTTTTCAGACAGAGTCTCACTCTGTCACCAGGCTGGAGTGCAGTGGCATGATCTCGGCTCACTGCAACCTCCGCCTCCCGGGTTCAAGTGATTCTCCTGCCTCAGCCTCTTGAGTAGCTGAGATTACAGGCACACACCACCACACCCAGCTAATTTTTGTATTTTTAGTAGAGACGGGGTTCCCCCATGTTGGCCAGGATGGTCTTTATCTCTTGACCTCATGATCTGCCTGCCTCAGCCTCCCACAATGCTGGGATTACAGGCGTGAGCCACCACACCTGGCCAACATCTATCTCTTAAGTCCACGATGATTTCTGGGGATCTTGTCCATCCACAGTTTTTACTGAAAACCGTAAACTATATACAGGCACTTGAAATATGCAGGCAGTTAAACCCTTTAGCTAAAGGTTAAGTGTTAGAAGTTCTAGGCGATAATCTCACAATGGTTACAATTATCTCTGAGATTTAAGCAAGTGATCATTATGTTTTCATGTGATACATGGTGACCACAATACTCTATTCCATCTTCTCAATGAATTGAGAAAATACCAAATAATAACACACAAGTAAGTGCTCTCAATTATGCAAGGGGTATATACAAATGGAAAGCAGTACTTGTTGCTATTTTTCTTTATACCACAAACACTGAATAAGTCAGAGGAAGTACATTTCCAACACTAAGGAAATGCAAGCCTAAATTAACCAAATCAGTTTCTATCTACTAATCAATAGATGGCATTATTTCAATATGCATTTTTCATGAAACATGATAAAATAATGAGAATAATTCTTCAAGACCTGCAAAAATCAATGATTTCCCATGACTGTCTTACCTAACATGCTTTTGGCATTTAAGTTGCCACTTTGTATCACAAAAAAAGCAACGTTAAACGTAGCTGATTCTGACACTGAGAAGCTGGGTGACCCTCAAGTTCCTTAACCATTATTAATTACAGCTGTCCTCATTGGTAAAGTGGCAATGATCACCACAAGATTACTAGGGTGTCAGATAATATAAGTGCCCAAGCACATAAAAGCATTCATAAATAGTACCCCCCATAGACATTCTTATTGAAAATTCAATATTAGGATCACTCTCCAAGTAAACTGTGGGGCTCCTTCAAGTCAGATTCTTGCCTACCTTCATCCCTCATAACTCACACCATTTTGTGACTAAAAATGAATGTGTTTGAAATCAAACTGAGAAGAGAATTAATCCACATGATAAAATTTAAGCTCAATTAAGTGCTAAATTGGGTGGGTAGTGATTGTAAGTAGATTCAATAAAAGTGCAAATACAAGAGAGATCAATGGAAATGCTTTCTGGAAGAGGGATTTTGTGCTGGGACTTGCAAGACAACTATGACTGAAATAAACTAAAGGAACAGAGGAGGGTGCTTCAGGTTGTAGTCACTGCTATTAGCTAAGAAATATTACATATATTAACTTCTTTACTTTCCCAGAAACTCCATGAGGCAGATATTATAATCCCCATTTTACAGATAAAGAAACTGAGACAGATTAAGTAGCTTGCCCAGGTTACACAAAGTGTCAGAGTAGGACATAAATACAGAAAATTTGGCTTCAAAATCCACACATCGTATCGCATAGTCATCAAAATAAGATCTACTGATCAGAAAAGAGAGTACATCTCACTGTATCAGCTGCAAACAACAGAATCCCCTCCGTATAGTTTAAGTGGATAGAGACACTTTTTCAAATATCAGCTCAGAAATCTCAGTACATCAGAGAATCAGCCAGGAACAACATGGGTGGGGCAAAGCGCAAGCACACTAGGTCTGCTCCAGTAAAAATACCACTGCTGCCACCTCCAAGTGTGTGGTGCCAGAAATGTCACAGCCTCTGCCACAACGCCGTTAAGTCCTAACCATTGCACTTGCCCAAACAGCTGTTCTGTGTGCAGGCAGCCTTACATTGCTCCCTTCTGCATCCCTTTTATGCATGGTACAGCAGATGGGCAACATGTCCATATCCTAGCAGCAAGAGAGTCTAGGAAATGCAGATGAAAAAATAAAGATTCTATCTTGGGAGGACTGGAATCACAACACAAGAAAGTAACAACATGTCAACATGATAAATAAAAGATGTCAGGCAATCACAAAAGGCCACTACACACCCTGATCACAAGCAGGCTGAAAGGTTCTGAGAAATAAAGTCAGCTATATAAAGTAGGGTCAGATTATATAGGTGCAACTGCATTTGAAAACAATTTACTCTGTCCAATAAAGGCCATAGGTCTCTTAACAATAGCAAGACATTGTTTAGGGAATAATGTAAAGATGATTGGTTCAAAAATTGCAAGTGCCAGAAACTTGAATTTTTTCCCCACCATTTAGAAATGTTATATCATAAAAGCATAGTCATATGCATCATTTTTTTAAAAAACGCAAATATCTATTAAATAAACTCTATTAAATAAACTGGCCACATCATATGTCATACATTATTTTTGCCTCTTACAGTTTTCTTATATTTCTTCAAGGATCATTTTCTAAGACAATGGAGACACTGAATGCTAATAATGTTTTATGTTTTTGGAAACAATTTGAATTAAAATACTACATATTAACTAGAAAAGTTTTTTATTCAATTTGGGAAATTGAAAGTTTTTTAAAAACCATCATTCATTTAACTGTCACAACCATATATGTTTCTGAATAACGTTTGAAATGCTTTCTACAGTAACAATTGTTTTTAGTAGTTCATGTTTAAGGAAAGACACACATGATAAGACATAGTATTTCTGAGTAAAATCCAGAATACAGAATTAAACACATCTATTTTAAAATGGCAATTATTGGTAAAAGGCAAGTATATAACGGCACAATATCAATGTTTTGATTTTACAGTATAAACAGACTGACAGTAGCAATTTTTTCCTGATAATAAAGTAATAAAGCACAGCATTACTTTGGAGCATCATTAATGTTAAATCTTTTTTCAACATCTATGTGAATAACTGGAAACATTTTTTTTTTTTTTTTTTTTTTGAGACGGAGTTTCGCTCCTTGCCCAGGCTGGAGTGCAATGGCGCGATCTCGGCTCACAACATCCTTCGGGTTCAAGCAATTCTCCTACCTCAGACTCCTGAGTAGCTAGGATTACAGGCATGTGCCACCATGTCTCGCTAATTTTTTGTATTTTTAGTAGAGATGGTGTTTCTCCATGTTGGTCAGGCTGGTCTCAAACTCCCAACCTCAGGTGATCCACCCGCCTCGGCCTCCCAAAGTGCTGGCATTACAGGCATGAGCCACTGCCCTAGCCACATATTTTAATTTTCAAATCTGAAATATTTTACATCACAAAACTCAGGAGAAATGCAGATTAACAACAAATGCAATGGCAGTTACTTTTTGATTACTTGACATATTGTGTACTATGCTAAGTATTATGTATACAATTTCACTTATTCTTGCTGAATTCATACATTTTATTATACCTGAATTTAAACAGAAAAATGTTTTACATAGCTCTCAGACACATTTCTACAGCTCAAAAACACTGCATAGAAATGTGAATATACCCAAGGGCAATAATCCAAAGAAGATTAAGGCAAAATCTCTATTTATATATATTTATGTCAGTATAGAAGTCAGAAGCTACTATGGCAAATAAAATTTGAGAGGAGAAGAGCAAATTTAGCATAGACATGCAATGTCAATGGAAAGACATAACTGTCTCTACATCTATCTTCTAACTTCATAAAACGACATCCATTAAGGGTTTTGATGATGATGTCTATGAAAATAATGTTATTTTGCAAAATTGCTGATGGTGAAAGAATGTTAAATTTTCAACAGTATGTAAGTTTTCATGAGTATAATGCTGATTGGGGAAAAATATAATCTTGAAAATATATCTATGATCAGAACCAACAGCCCCTGCACTGTTTATAGAAAATGCTTCACCTCAAATATTTTGCTTTTTTTTTTTTTACCATTTACAATACATTGACTATTTTTAAGTAGTCTGAATACTCATCTTTTATATGAAATTTATAACAAAACTTCAAGCAACCCAGAAGGCTCATTCGACTACCTTGTTAGAGCTGACTTAGCTAAGGGAGGCTCAAGGTTTTAAATGCACAGTTGCATTAATTTATTTCAAGTTAAAAATAAAGTGTGTAACCACAGTTAAAAAAAAAAAGAAAAGAAATTCCTTCTTTATCTGAATTTTAAAGAAACAAGACTGCCTTATTTAGCAGATAAAGGCTTTAAAGAGTGAATAATCTCAATTATTATCTTCATGAATTTACTGAAAAAGATATAATTAGTTATGACAAGAATATGGCAATGAAACTGGAGTTTGAGAGTTAAAATCAGTCATAGAGACTATGAGTCACCTTGAACATTATAGTTCATTTAAGATAGATGAAAAGAAGTTCATATTTCCTTATGACACTTTCTTCGCATTTTCTTAAGACAACAGAAAGGACTGACCAATGACACTGAACACAGTTTCCTTCTTCTGTAGCCACAGATATGATCACCTAGTAAGACATGAAACAGATCAAAATTGTCACCAGGTCGAATGCCTTCAGAGCACAGCATTTTTCTCAGTGATGATTCTCTGACATAATTTGTAAAGAAAACAAAACAAAAAAAACCTGTTGACATCTTTATTGTTACATTGGTTTCTCAAAACACTAGGGGAGTTTTCTAGAAGGTGAATCTAATATGTGGTGTCAGTTCTGCTCAATCTATTGATTTCAAAAATTGATAGACACACAGTGAAATAGAATTTTGCCCATGTGGTGACCAGGGATTATGTTTGCCCATTAAGTAAATACAAACATTATTTTATATAAAACAAACATATCTTATGTAGTAAAATATTTTTTAATCCTATGAAATTAAGGTGAAAGAGTGATTCAAAAGAGTTCACATTTACTGTAGGATACTGCATAAAAGGCTCTGTGACTCTAGGCAAATTTGCATTTACTGGGGTACTGAACAAAAACTTTTCACAAGATCTATATTAGATTCTTCTTACACATCAATATATTAGTAGGAATTATGTCTGGTATCAGATCATGTCCAATGTGATAACTAGTTACAATGATCAAAACCAAGTTACAAAGACAAATACCCTGCAATAATGAAAAGACTGATTCACAAGACATGGACTACAGTTCAGTGCCTGTTACTTACTTGTTGTGTGATCTTACATGCATATCATCTCTGCAACTTTATTTACTAATAAAAACAATATTACATCTACTCAAAGGATTACTAAGGCAGACAAGCACATGAAACTATTATGTTCTCTTAATGAATTGACATCCTTATTATGAGATGCTCAATTTTATCTCTGGTTATATTATTGTTCTGAGGCCTACTTTGATATGAATACAGGGCACCAACATTTTGGTTTTGCTGTTATTTAGTGTTTGCATAACGTATCTTTTTCTATCCTTTCACTTTTTATCTTAAAACAATGTTCACCACAGAATTATTATGTTCCAGGAAGAAAGTTTTCTAAACTATTAATAGCTTTTATTTCAAGATGTGATCATGTCTTCTAATTTCTCTTGATAGGTTTTTTTATAGATATTTAAATTTTTCTAAAATAAAATGTTATCAGACATAAGAATTCCAGTTTCTGATCTGAGGACAGGCCTTGTACACAGGCAATCAACAGGACTGGCATGGCTAAACACGAATAGTCTCACCTTTCATACGAAACTTCTTCCTCTAGAGTTACAAGAAGGATGCTGTCAAAGCCAAAATTCATCTAAGTTTTCATTGTAAGTATAAGGAAGGCCATATACTCACACATGGTTGCTGCTATAACAAACAGATTTCTTAAAAATCACTGCCCCTTTGAACTATACAAAGCAATCTGCTCAAGTCTCCCCTTAGCCAGTTTAGTAATCCATATTTGCTCTCCTATACAGTTATAAATCCTAAGCCCTCTGGTTCAAAAAATGTTTTTTTTTAAATTCTTAATTGTGGTAAAGAACATATAACATAAAATTTACCCTCTTAACCATTTTTAAGTGTACAACTCAGTAGTGTTAACTATATTCACAACGCTGTATAACAGATGTCTAGAGCTTTTTTCATCTTACAAAACTGAAACTCTATACTCACAGGACAACTCCCTATTTCCCTCTCCCCCAACACCTGGCAACTTCATTCTACTGTCGAAGATTTTGACTACTCTAGATTCTATCCTTTGATTACTCTAGAATGTACCATCTTGCTATCTGTACTCTGTTCCTTTTGACTTTTCTTCTTTTAGATAAATTGAGGGGTTTTTTTTTGCAGTGTTTCTGGTTCATCTCCACTATTGGTCCTGACAACTGTATCTGGTTGTTTTGTGTGGGTGGCTGCTCTAGAATTTACAACATAAGGCTTTATCACAAGTTATCACTTACGACTTACTGACCTACCTTCAAATAATACCATACCACTTCACAAGTGGTGGGAGAACTCTACCTATACTTCCTTCCATAACCCTGTCCTGTGCTGTCGTTACTACTCATTTTCATTCAATATGTCACGAACTCCACCATGCATTGTTATATTTGCTTTCAGCAGTCAACTGTCTTTTAAAAAGATTTTTAAATTCTTTTATATTGACCCATATGTTTACCATTACTCATTTCCTGTATAAATCTAAATTCCTACCTAGTATCCGTTTCTTTCTGCCTGCAATTTCTTTCTTCTTTCCTGACTGATTTCAGATAAGAAGACTGATTTATCTTCCTTCATGTGTAAGGTGTATTTTTTGCCCCCTGGCTGCTTTTAAGACTATGTCCTTTATTACTTGTTTCTAGCAATTTGATTATTCTGTGTTTTAGTGCCATTTATTCTGCTTGGGGCTCATTAAACTTCCTGGGATTTGTGAGTTTATAGTTTCCATCCCATCTGAAAAATGTTCAGCTTTTTTTCTTCAAATATTTTTTTCTGATCTCCCTCTTCTTGAAAGTCCAATTGTAGGTATGATAAGCAACTTGCTATTGTTCCACAGCTGCTTACTGAAGCTCTGTTTTTATCTTAAGCCTCTATTTCTTTTCTCTCTGTGCTTTGTGCTTTATTTTGGATAGGTTTTTATTATTTATTTATTTATTTATTTATTTATTTATTTATTTATTTTGAGACAGATGCAGTCTTGCTTTGTCATCCAGACTGTAGAGCAGTGGCACGATCTCAACTTATTGCACCCTCCACCTCCCGGGCTCAAGTGAGTCTCCTGCCTCAGCCTCTTGAGTAGCTGGGATTATAGGCATGAGCCACAACGCCTGGCTAATTTTTGTATTTTTTTATTTTTTAGTAGAGACAGGGTTTTGCCATGTTGGCCAAGCTGGTCTCGAACTCCTGACCTCAAGTGACCCACATACCTCGGCCTCCCAAAGTGCTGGGATTACAGGCATGAGCCATCGTGCCCGGCCTACTTTGGATAGTTTTTATTGCTACGTATTCAGACATTGATCTTTTCTTCTGCAGTATCTATTAATGTCATCCACTGTATTTTTAAAATTTTAAATACAGTATGATATGGTTTGGAAGTTTTTTTCCCCTTCAAATCTCATGTTGAAATGCGACCTCCAATGTTAGAGGTGGGCCTAGGGAGAGGTGTTTGGGTCATGGGGGCGGATCCCTCATTAATGGCTTGGTGTTGTCTTCATGGTAATGAATGCGTTCTCACTCTGAGTTCACAAGTTGTTATCCTGGCACCAGCTCCCTCTCACCACATGATGCACGAGCTCCCACTTTGCTTTCTGCCATGATTTATTTATTTATTTATTTTTGAGACAGAGTCTCGTGTTGCTCAGGCTGGCGTGCAGTGATGGGATCTTGGCTTACTGCAACCTCCACCTCCCGAGCTCAAGCAATCCTCCCATCTCAACCTCCGGAGTAGCTGGGACTACAGGCATGTGTCACCATGCCTGGCTAATTTTTGTATTTTTTGTAGAAATGGGGTTTCACCACATTGTCCAGGTTAGTCTTGAACTCCTGCGCTCAAGTGATCCACCTCCCTTGGGATCACAGGCGTGAGCACTTGGCCTCAGGTATTTCTTTACAGCAATGCAAAAACAGACATACATGGTGTATGTTTCATCTGTTTAATTTTTTATCTTTTTGTACCTTCCATTTCTCTTCTCATCATTTTCATGTTTTCCTTCACATTTGTGAGCATATAAGATACAAAATAGATGTTTTAAGATCTTTGCCAATTATTTGTCATTTCTGGATGTGTTTCTATTGATTCATTTTTAAAACTTGGTTATAAGTTCTATTTTCCTGCTTCTTTGTACATCTGGTAATTTTGATCGGATGCCAGACATTGTGATTTTTACATCATTCAGCACTAGATCGTGTATTCTTTGGAGTGCATTTTTGTTCTGGTATACAGCTGAGTGACTTGCAGATCAGTTCGGTCCTTTCAATGCTTGTTTCTAAGGCTTGTCAGGGTAGGTCCAGAGCAGTCTATTCCAGGACTCAGGGCCACTAAGCTGTGACCCTTCCAAGCCCTCTTCCCAATGCCTCACATATGAAGAGGTCTCTCCACCCTGATTTCTGTCAGCTTTATGTGAGCTCCAAGAATTGTTCAACCTACTGCTGTATGGCCGACCTTTCCTTGCCTTCCTCCAATACACAGGAAGATAAGTACTCACCAAACCCTTTAGTGGGCCCCTCTGGAGATCTCCAGAGCTCTCTCTTTGTGCAATTCCCTCCTCTACAGTATTCTTCTCACAAACTAGTTGTCCTAACTTCTCCAAATACCAAACCCTGTCTGCTTAGCTCAGTGAGACGGCGAGGCCCTGTTTGGGTTCTTCCTCCCTGCTTTGCCGCCCGGAAGTTACCTCCAAGCAGTAAGCTGAGGCCACTGTAGAGTTCATCACGTTTTCTGCTCTCCTCTCAAGGACCATCGCTTGTTGTCCAATATGTGAAAAAACATCTCTTATTTCATCTGAGTTTCTAGTTGTTCATGGTGGGAGTCAATTCCCACAAGAGTTAATCCTTTGTGGTCAGAAGCAAAACTCCTCTAAAGGTTAAACAGGATATTTTGGCCAGGCGCAGTGGCTCAGGCCTATAATCCCAACCCTTTGGGAGGCAAAGGCAGGTGGATCACGAGGTCAGAAGATCGAGACCATCCTGGTCAACATGGTGAAACCCCGTCTCTACTAAAAATACAAAAATTAGCCAGGCATGGTGGCATGTACTTATAATCCCAGTTACTTGGGAGGCTGAGGCAGGAGAATCGCTTGAACCCGGGAGGTGGAGCTTGCAGTGAGCTGAGATCGTGCCACTGTACTCCAGCCTGGCGACAGAGCGAGACTCCGTCTCAAAAAAAAATAAATAAATAAAAAAGGATATTTTTTGTGATGCACTTTATAAACTCTGAACCGGTATGCAAACATTAGCTCAAGAAAACACATCTACAGAGAAAACACGCTTGATGGTCCAGATTTTTTTAAAAAAATTCTTCCACAAAGACAAGGAGACAATGCAGACCATGATCTTGTAGAAGCTGAAATATTCTGGAAAGGTTAATTTGCCTGAAATCAAAATGCTCAAATCACTCAGAGTATTTAATTTCCTTAAGAAATATTCCTTTTTACAAAGCACTGACCCTATAAAAATGCAAATAACTCTAGGAAAGGGCACTTTACATTCTCTTCAACTAATGAGACTGTGGTTAGAACTGGTCATCTGTTGGTACCTTGAACCATTACAGCACCATCAGAGCGCAGGGACATCTGGATTGTGGGTGGCAGGAGAATTAAGTTGAAAGAGAAAGTACATTGCTAAAGGGAAGAAGGGCAGAATTCTCAACTTCATAGCTTTGCCCAGGGCAGGCCCTGAGGGAAAGGATTTGTCTGCCTGCTATATTTCCCTTGGGTACTATCTGTAATTACTATCACAGCTCATTGATTTTCAATTCCTTGTATTAATATATTTATTGGCCATTCTGACATTATTAAAATCAGTCTAACTCTGCATCTTTAGTGGAGGATACCTCTTCTTAAAATAGGAGTTTTGCAAGAGCAGATATTTCTTTCCGCTTAAAAAAAAAAATGGTCTTCTCACATTAGCCATAACACAGCAACTGCAAATGTTTTTCTTTGAAGCCAGGTAGTGACATGCAAAGATTTCACTACAGATCAAAAGATCTCAAGCAGCAGGTCATCAGAGAATATTAAATGATAAGCAAACTCGTATTTCCAAGATAATTCTACCAATTTAGTCAAACGCTGGCCCCTGTTCCACAGCAGGAGAGGGAATAATGAGCCCCTGGTTAAAGGGTAATGCAAGTGGCATTTTTAATAATGCCCTTTTTTCACTTCTGATAAAGTCATTAAAGTAACACTGTCTTACTACGCCTTTACGCACAGATGTACACTAGATCGTTAGTGTAAAATTAAATAGGTTTACTGAGGAAAAAAGTTAGGCTAATTGTTGGGTTTTTTCCCCCTAATGCTACTGAATTTTAATGTAATTTATTTCCTGCGTTAAGTAAACATTCCATAGCACATTTCCAGGTTCAGCTACAATACCTGCACCCGTCTATATTTCTTTATTAAGCCTAACGACTGGAGTCTTTTTCAAAAAAGCACCCGTCTCCAAATCCTCTCAATTCCAGTGTGGCAAACAGCCTCTCACTTACAACAAATAGCACATGAATGAATCACCACTTATTGAGCCCTGCCGATTCATAAGCTCCTGTGCTGAGATGATGAGGAATAACAAGAAACATAAAGCATAAGCTCTGCTCTTAAGGAAGTTACATTACAGCTGACTTCATGATGCTAGTCAGCTCTTGGTGATATAGGAATAGCTTCAACACCTTGTTATTAATGTCCTGCAGAATGGTTTCTAAGAGTTACTGCAAGCTGCCTCTAGGGAAAAGACTGAGTCTCCCTTATCCTCTTTTGTTCTGCCTCTAAAATGAGGGAGTGCATAGGAATCTCTGGTCTGGCCAAGGTGGATATTTCCTGGTAGTTAAGGCATGGAGTATTGACGTGATTCTATACTTGTCTGCGGCAATGCCTGCACCCTTTCTAGCTACATGGCTATGGCAAAGAGGCATCAGGCTCGCTTCCCCAAGGGTAACAGAAAGGAATCTGTCTTCCACTCAATTACTGACTGCTTAGAGCACTTAAAATGAGCAAAACACCCAATCTCTTTCCCTGTTTCTGCCGCACTATTGCCGCTCTTCTCTGCCGGCCCACGGATCAGAACTGTACCTGGTTCTACAGGAGAGAAGAGAGGCAGGATAACCAATGGCTTCAACACCCTTGCAGTTAGTGTAGACACTCAGGTCAGCTCCTTCCCCGCGGCAGATTCCTCAGACTTAGGAAATAAACAGTGAGGGTGACTAAGAAATGTTGCTTTCAGGTCTCCCTCTGAGTCCTCTGCACCTATGTAGTTTTCAAAAATATTTTTATTTAGAGAGCTCATCTTTTCTTTTTAAAACATTTTAATTTAAAGAATTTCAAATACACAAAATTAGGCAGAATAAACTATTTTCATTTTTTTGGTTCCATGATTCTGTTTTTATTCTGTTATTGACATTATTTTTTGTGTTCCATTATTTCACATAATAAACTCTAATCAGAATTTGAAACATTCTTCCAGATATCCTTAAATAAAAATTCAAATTAAAAAAAGAGTTCTAATTTCAGATCTACCTACCCTATGTCTACTTGGAGAATTATGAATTAACATAGATGTTGAAATCTCTACTAGATACTTCATGAGAATTGCAGCAACATAAACGAAAGTAATAGGGCCTTTTTCTCCTGTTTTTCTTCAAAAGAACACTGACTCAGTACCCACCAAAGGCAGGCAGGCTCCTGTGAAGATGGGTGGTTAATTCCATCTTCCAGGTGAGTAGGATTAAAGGAGAGAGACTAAGCATGACCCACACAGCTGGTACCAGGCTGAATACCATCTGAACTCAGGTCTTTCTCACTTTGAAGTCTGTGAATTTACACTTCCATACACAGGAAGCTTCACTGCAGTAAGACTCATAAATGCATAAACAGAAAGGCTCTGTCTCACCCCTTGCTCCTCACCAGGATCATAGAATGGCAGACTTCACCTGGGAGAGAAGCCCTCATCTCCAGCACCCCCACTGTATGGATGAGGGCATAGAGGCCTGGAGATAGAAAATAACTTCCCAATGTCATTCCAGCTGGTGAACTGCAGGGCCAGGAATAAAATCACATAGTATATCTCTGGGGCAGTATCCTCTATATACTACCTTATCTCTGGGTGTGATAGTTCTAATACTCTTCTTGTTTCAGTCCTTTGCTTAGTAACATGTTAGAACATCCAAAGGCTAACAGCATTTGGGAAGCTCTTGTAACAGCAGGACGCACGCACCAAAGTCACAGACAAAGTCATTCAAGCACTCCTTGCTGTGCCCCTGAAGCGTATCACAAGAGCACATGCCCTTCCTAGAGGCTGCCAGCAGCATGTGCTGTGTTACCGACAAGCAAGAAAACCGAAGTCACATTTCAGGTGACTGCAATAATTATCTACCTAGCTTTCACTTAACTAAAAATGCAAGAGTCAGAGAACTCCAAACAGAAGGCACACAGAGGTGGTGCCCATATGCTACCACACCTATCCGGTTCACATGGCTACGAGATGAGGACTCCTGTCACCAATGAGAATGCGTATTTCCAATATTTACAATTTTGATTTTTATGTTCACAATAACCCTATGACATAGAGCAGGTTGACAATTATCTATTGACTGGTTTTATATTTTTCACCATGCTAATTATAATGCCCAGACAAGCTGAATAAATAATGTATTCACCATGTGCCAGAAACTATAAGAGATACAAACCAGAAATATAAGAAATAGTCCTTGTCCTCTAGGAGTTTACACTCTGATTGAAGACACATGACCACATACACACAGCATAAATCTCATTAAGAGAATGAGGCAAGGCAGCCAGAACTTTTCACAGAAGAGATGCAGGCCTGTTCCCAGTCTGTCTTTAACCTCTGAAATGTGCTCCTCAGGTCCTGAATTCCTTGGAGGGGTGGGGAGACATGCAGAGCCCACCTGACAGCAGAAGACCTAAAGGACTCTTTCTAACACGCAGCAGAGAACAACTACATGCCTTTCTGGTGCACTGAAACACAAGGGCATGTAGAGTAGCATATCTTTAAAATGCTGTGTGCAGCCTGAGATAAATACCAACTTTTCTTCACCAAAAGATTGAGATTAGTATCTATTTCTTAAAGACAGAGTACCAAAACTAGGTTTTTCAGAGTGATTATACATTCCAACCAATGTACCACCTTCAGGCTTTCTTCAAGCTTTCTCATTCATTGTTGTGACACAGACAAGTTTCTATCGCTTTTTGTTCACTGTTAACTAACATGTCTCATCTTTTTCAAAAGTCCATAATCAGCTGGGCATGGTGGCACATGTCTATAACCCCAGCTACTTGAGAGGCTTATGCAGGAGGATCACTTGAACCCAAGACTTTGAGTCCAACCCGGGCAACATAGCAAGCAAAACTCTATGTCGTAAAAAATAGATAAATAAATGCCCATAATTATACATGTGAGTGTAATTATTTATTGAAATTTCACTAATGTGTTTTTCTTACAAAGAATTAAACTTCAACCAGCCTTTAAGTCATAAATGAGGAAGTCATGAAATATTCCAAATTCTGGCTCTCCTTATCTAAAAATAGTTCTAAGATTCTGAACATTATATGGTATATAACACCCAACGCATCTTCTCAATGAAAAACCCAGCAAAGTGGCCAAAAATGAAAGTCACCAAAATTCTAGACTTTGTTTCAAACAAGAGTTGATTTAAAGCATTACAAAATTGTTAAAATTATTGTATTCTAATAGAGTTAAATCATTATACATTTCATTAAACACTACAGGCTGATTCTCTTGAAGCTTTGCTACAAAAGAGAATGAAATTGTATCTGTCATATATTTAAGAGGTACACATAAACCCAAAGGAAAAAAAAAAGTTCTATTTCCCTCCAACATGCAGAATCTAAATAAGAGTTAAAATACCAACATCAGCTCCACTCACAAGGAGGAAAATCGATTTTCATGAACAGGCATTAGGCAATACCTATGAACCCACAACTTTTCATGTCCCTCTCTAAGGACAAAAAAAATGCTTTCTATAAATAATGTGACATGGAGTTCTTATTCACACTGCAAAACTGCTGGGAATAGTGGCTTTTGTTTTTTGTGCACCTAAATATTTCAGGTAGACCTTACCTTGAAACCAAAAAATAAAGGGGAAAGAACTATATGGATATTGTTAAAGATTACCAAGACTGGTGACAGCAACCCACGATCCTGGCTTTGACCATTGGTCTGGGGCTAAGTTTCTGACTGGTTTGCTATAGTTTTTGCCTTCCTCCAACATGCACAGTTTGAACAGATTGTTATTTCAAGTTGAAGAAATTATTGTGAAATGCAGACTGCTTTTTCACTTTTTTTTCCCATGAGCAGTGGGAAAAGGCTATCCTTTCTGAATGAGACGCCAGGCTCTATATGAGCTGAGCAGAAGTTTATTTTACTAAACTCATGATAATGCAACTAGATTAAGAAATGAATTAAGAAAACAGAACTCTAAAGAACTAAGACAAATCCTCCCCATGGTTAGGTTAATCAATAAAGGTTGAAACTATCTATAAGGTTTGGAAGGTATATACAATTTAACTTAGTGAATCCAGCTAGAAAATCCAGTTGAACACATGACTTTTTCTGAAAGGTTTTCTATACTGAACCAATGTTAGTAATTGCCACGGTCTTCTCCTTCATGATCCTCTACTGCCTGTGTCTTGGGCTGAATCTGTTATGAATTGGTCATTATATCATGTATAGGACTGTGGAGTCATGTTATTGGTTGACATACTCCACAAAGTTCATTTCAAAGCTACAAAACTCAACCCAGAACATAGAGGTGAAATGACATCCTCTACCACGATGAGGCTCTGTTCAAACACAGGCTTACACTGAAAAACAGAAATTATATTGAGATGCCACACAGCCTGCTATGTGATGCTCAGGTATGCAGAAGTTATTGAAGAGACCCTCTAAATACTACCATCTGGATCCATAACCTTGAATGTTCTCATTATGAAATCCTTTTGGGACATTAATATCCTAACCCTTTGAGTGGGATCCCGGATGTACTCATCCACATTGATTTTTATACTCTAACAGTGAGATTTTATTCACATTTAAAATTTCTTTTGAATGTTCAAGTACAAAACATTGCTAATTTTTAGTTATGATTTTTTAATAAGAGAGACACTGATAAGGTAAAGATTATATACGTATTTATGTCCTTCTATCAGTCACCTGTGCTGCCTCAGTGGTGGTGGTTTAATAAAATAAGTAGCCAACAGGCACTCAGCCACATGAGCAGCACTTTATCTCTTAAAGTTGCCAATGCTGCAACCAATTATCCTGCACTTATGCTCTTAACTAAACCAGTGAAGCCATAAATGTTCATTATAAAATCTATGTCATTAAAAAAATATGCACTCATAGTCCTTGTATTTTCAGTACCCATAAATGAATTCATTGGTTTGGCTATGTACTGTTAAATAATCTTTCTTTCGCTTTTAGAAATTTTTCAAATTCAGTGACCTCATCAACTATCCCCTAGTACTCCTACAGTAAGAAAGGGCAAGTACAAATGTCAAAAGAGAAACCCATCCAACAAACAGTAACATTCTCATAGCGGTACTTTGTCATTTCCTGATTAGAATCAACCAAACTATGATGACACTGAGGTTATAGTCCCACCTTATTTTTTAATACTTCCTCTTTGCTTTGGATTTTTATTAGCTTTTCAAATCATTTACCAATTTAGATATAGCCATATGGTTCTAATAATGTCACTATGCCTTCCAAATTTTAGGATACTATCCCTTCCAAGGAAATAATAGTTGAAGTTGCAAATGGGTACAGATCAACCACAATCTCAGATTTTTGTTTGTTTTAACCTGAGAGAGAAAAGCTTAAGCAAGGGAAACCGTAGAAGTGCTCTGCAAACCTCAGGATGCTCTGCAGAAGAATGCCACTCTCATCAAAAGGAGTGGGGCATTGCTGGAAACTTGTGCTTACCCCTTGTTCAGATTCCAAAAGCTCTGTTTTGACTCTGACTGCCGGCATCCCATCAAGCATTAACATTCTGTTCTCAAAGGTGTTGATATTCTGAGAATAGAAGGGAGAGAGAAAGATTCAGCTCTAAAGCATTCAAAAGAGGACCTCTGGGAGAGTCTTCCCTCATTGTAGTACATTTAGTATTGCTAACCTAATTTTTTAAACAATAAAGAATAATTAAATGAAAATATCAGCATAACCAATTATCCCCCTACTCTGAACTTTCATTTGAAATAATGACCAAGCAGTTGAATTAAGCAGTCTGATTCTCTGACCTCTGGGTTGGAGGTCAGACTGTAATAAACTGGAGTATGGAAACCTTACGTTAATTTATATGGGGCTGCAACAATTCATCACACTTTCACAATAGTGGAAGGAAACAGAAGGCAAGTTTTTCTCTTCCCTTAGTTCTGGAAATTGCATTGTGCAAAGATATCCATAAAGGAGAAAATCACATAAAAATTTATAAACTCTCATATTAGTCAAAGCCTAAATCATTTAAAATCAATATAATTCCATACATTTAATTTTTATGTCATGGCAATTCTGGTCAAATGAAAATTTCTACCTATCAACCTCCAAATATCTACTTTAAAAACAACCAACATAAATCTTAGATTAAGAGTGAATTTTTAGGCTAAACTAAATAACAAACAATTATTTGGTCTTTATTCTGGTATATGTTTTGCTCAATTTACCACCTCTTGAAAAGAAAATCTTATCTATATTGTAGCTCAATAACATTTCAAACACCATTTATAAAAGATTAAATCAAGGTTATTTTCTACGTAATTGTCACCGCCTTGGGGATTTTCTACAGTCAGCAACCCAGGAAGGGAGTCAGAATCACACTTCAGTGCTCGCCTAAGGCCCAAATCAGGCTCATATTTTTAAACATGTTTAGAATGCTAATTTCTCTGTTACATATTGACTCAACTACAAATCTGACAGAACTAAATTTGATTGAGATTTTAGAATGGTTATTTTTACTTAATTACAGAATGTAACCACAGGACACTAAAGTAGTCTTATTAAGAGAAAAAAAAATCAGTTTCTAAATATTTTGCCTACCTGGTGAAAAAGATAAGTATAATTTCTAAATCTTCAGGTGTTCACCTTTAATATGGTTGCTTTCCTACAAAATAGCAGGTTAAATAAGAACAACTGGGCCAGGCACAGTGGCTCACGCCTGTAACCCCAGCACTTTGGGAGGCTGAGGCGGGTGGATCACCTGAGGTCAGGAGTTCGAGACCAGCCTGGCCAACACGGTGAAACCCCGTCTCTACTAAAAATACAAAAATTAGCTGGGCGTGGTGGCAGGCACCTGTAATCCAAGCTACTCGGGAGGCTGAGGCAAGAGAATTACTTGAACCTTGGAGGTGGAGGTTGCAGTGAGCCGAGATCACGCCATTGCACTCCAGCCTGGGGAACAAGAGTGAAACTCCATCTCAAAAATAAATAAATAAAAACGACTCTCCTTTCAACAAATCATAAATTACATGTTCTTATTACCAAATAATACCAACAGAGTGCAGTATAGTGAAACTATTTCTCATATTTCTTGACTCTTCTTTTTGTTAAGAAAAATGTTCCAAGAAATAAAACATACAGAGCCTCCAAGGAATCAACAAAAAAAAAGCAAATTTACTCTGGAGTTAATGAGCATTTAAAAAGTCTACACCACCTAGTCTATAAGGTGATAAAAAGAAGAAAACAAATTACTGTCAATATTATTTCCCCATAAATGTTCAATATTTTCAAAACTGGCAGGATACTTTTTAAAAATGTTTGCTTTTGACTTGTCCCTTTTTTCAGAATTTTATATCTTAATAGATAATTTAGAGCAGAAGGAACTGTGGTATATTACTGGTGAGCTTGGGTGAGTTGTTCTAAACTTGAAACCCTTTCATGGAGGCCTGTGGGTTGTTTTCACATGGGGCAGGGATCTCAAATCCTAATGTGTCACTGGCTTCCGAGGTTGGCAGCAGCCAGCTTGGCTTACCACCATCCAGTCTCAGGAAAGCCTTCCTGCAGCCGGCCAGCCCTCGACTCTCCGGAGTCTGGCAGCAGCTCTAGGAATCCACCTTAACAAAGCACCCTGTAGGCTGTTTGGCTGGTAGACAATGAAGGATGAGCTGATATTGCTTCCTACCCTGGAGGAGTTCTTGCCCAGATGAGAAGGCAAGAAGATGCCTTATAAGGAAGGCCCAAGCAAAAGAGGAGAAAAGACAAAGAGCGATTCTGGAAAAGCAGATTTAATGAACTGTTAGAATCTGATTAGAGGCTAATGTCCCTTTTAGTGCTTTGTACCAATTTACAGCTGATATACTTTAACCATTTTCCCCACTGGCTGTGATAAACTCATTAGTTTAAAAAATGGAAGCTAACCAGAGTCTTTGAAGTTAAAAACTGATAAATCATAAAAACCTGACTGGGTCTGTGTTCCACTTAACACATTTAAGTATCACTATATATTCATGATGGTTTTTCTTTAAATTTATATTGTTCTTGAATAATTCTACATGCAATAAAGTCAAGATGTACGGTTTAGTTTCACGTACAAGTGAAAAAAATAAAACATTCTCGATTTTTTTAAGAAATCAAGATTTCCTGGAAATCTTTCTATGATTTTCTAGAATCATTCACAGCCACAACTATAATAAACACCATAAATAACAATGTTCACAGCTGGGGAACTAAGCTTCAACTGTTAAACTCTTTCAACTAGTGCAGATTCAATCTGTATATATGCCTGTTGCAAACACATGTGAAGCATATTCAACTCTGCATTCACGGATCTAACCTCAATCCTCATAAACAAAAGCGTTCAGTATCACAGCATGCTCCAAACTATCTAGGAAGGTGTGTGATTTTTATACAACACATGGTAATTACACAGCATTGACAATACAGTCCTTGAAGCAAAATATTGATAGATGTATCTCACTGAACTAAGATCAGATACATATAATCTCAGATGAATGTAGACTTTAAATATGTACTAGATTCTAATAATCTGGAACTGCTGTCAAACATATCTTGCCATGATCTTAATCAAAACACATTTGCTGTGGAATCAATAGCTCAACTGATTCCTAAGAGATGAATAAAATTACAGTTATCAATTTTAGTAATGTAGTATTCTTTGTATATTTATAACAAACATTTTGATGTTACACAACCCTCAAGAAATACTTTATGTATGCTTATACACTTGTTTCATGAGTGAATTGTTTGAATTAATGAAAAATCATCCATAGAATTTGTTAGTTGGCTGTTGACCAATTCCATGTGCACGGGATGAGAAGGATAATCTTGATATCCCATTTACCAAATATGAATTGGCAATGGCCGGGCGTGGTGGCTCACTCTTGTAATCACAACACTTTGGGAGGCTGAGGTGGGCAGGTAACTTGAGCTCAGGAGTTTGAGACCAGCCTGGCCAACATAGTCAAACTCTGTCTCTACAAAAAATACAAAAATTAGCCAGGCATTGTGGTGGGCGCCTGTAGTATCAGCTACTGAGGAGGCTGAGGCAGAAGAATCGCTTGAACCCGGGAGGCAGAGGTTGCTGTGAGCCAAGATGGTGCCACTGCACTCCAGCCTGAGCGACAGAGGGAGACGGTCTCAAAAAAAAAAAAAAAAAAAAGAGTTGGCAACACAGTAGTCGAGCTGACATTCGCTCTCCCTGTCAAAAACCATATAATCACAACAGTCGTTGATCCCAACATCTCAAAATATTCTGAATGTAATGTGCAGCAAGGAAACGGACTGATCTTCAATGACCAGAACTCATAAAAACATACAATGGGGTGACTTTCCAGGTCAACTCCTACAATGTGCCCTCCTAACCTCCCAAGGCAGGTCATTTCCTTTCTCTCCTCCTGACCTTGACTCATTTTGCACAAATGGAGTAATAAGGAGCTAGCTAGGCAATACTCAACAGTTCTAAGCTTTTAAACAAGGGTTCCTGTCATAAGTCAAAAATAACTGCTGCTATTTGTTTTGCTCTTTGTAAATACAGGAAATATGATATTTTATTGAAATACACATCCACTTTAAATCTTCACGTTCAGCTACAGGTGATGAGAAATAAGAATATGTCGCCCCTGCCCCACATCTACATTATGCTAGACAGTGATGTAAGGGACATATGAACAGTCAAGATTCACTGCACCAAGTTGGTTGGGACACTTTCATAGCAGATTCTTTTTTTTTTTGAGACAGAGTCCCACTCTATCACCCAGGCTGGAGTGCAGTGACACGATCTCAGCTTACTGCAATCTCTGCCTCCCAGGGTCAAGCAATTCTTGTGCCTCAGCATCCCAAGCAGTTGGGATTACAGGCATGCGCCACCACGCCTAATTTTTTCTATTTTTTGTAGAGACGGGGTTTCACCTTGTTGGCTAGCCTGTTCTCGAACTCCCGGCCTCAAGTGATCCATCTGCCTTGGCCTCCCAAAGTGCTGGGAATACAGGCATGAGCCACCAGGATGGCATAGCAGATTCTTAAAGGTTTGCAATGCAAGAGTGCCAACTGGTTAAAAGTAACATCCTGTGGGTACCTCTTCCTATAGAAAAAGTATCAGAATCAGATTACAGGGCAATTAGGGGTTTGCATAAAAAAGATTTCTTAGAGAATTCAACTTCTCTCACTTCTACCCTAACAACCACAAACACCAATAACAGCAATTTTTTTCAAGTCCTATTGCAGATGTGCCAGTTCCACTAACAGGTTAACAACTAATTGCAAAACCTTTGCTTATATACAAGCACATTAGTGAATTCCTCCCTCTCTCTGGGTAAGGGTTAACAAACCTAATAGATTGAAATCATGTTTAGGTAATTATTTCAGTTGTCTACTGCCATGCAACAAATCACACAGTGGCATGAAGCAACAGTCATTTTGTCATTATCTTGGTAACAAAAATAATACAGATATTTGCATATTTACTGTGAGCCAGATCATGTGCCAAGAGCTGTGCATATAGCTGCTCATCTAATCCTCACTGCAACCCAAGAGGTTGATGCTGTATTATCTGATGTTGAGGCATCTGAGACATAAGGAGGTTAAATTGCCCAAGCCCACACAATTAGTAAGCAATACAGCTGTATTGAAAACCAGTGAGTGTGACCCCAAGCCAGCACTCTTAATCACCATACTCTATGTACCTACCTGTCCACTCACTTACCTTTCTCTATATCAATATGCACTCCTAATACAATAGAAAAAAAATATGAACACCTTATTGAAGGTCCCAACAGAGACATTGTGGAATCTCAGTAACAGCTCCTCCCTGAGCTGGGCTAATTTAGCTATGGAACTAAATGTGAAACTTGTGGTCACTGGTGAGTAGCAACGATTTGGAGAATCAGTCTCTGGTTTCAAAGCTATTTCAAAGCTATTAATATTTTTTTTCCCTTTAAGTCAAGTTTTCCACATATTTTCTTAACTTGATGAGATTATATGTTTCTATCCTAGGAAGATCTCATAATTAATTTAGCCAGTAACTTCATTTGCTACCCAGCTTTTAAAAAATATTCTTGCCTTTGGTGGCTCACTCAGTATTTTCAAAATGGTTTCATGGCCTTCAATGAAACGCTAACTTCACCTTCTACATTTTATACTCAGGACAGATGCCTCTCAGCATTACATTTAATTTATAATGGCTAAGTGTAAAAACATCCTTTTCTCTACTCACATATCCTCATGCTGATAACTCAGTTTCATAGAGGGCATATAACTAATCAAAGTACCAGAAGTGGGACAAAATAAACATCCCTTCAAACACAGACTTTGCCATTCTAGCCCAGCCTTTCATCTTACATTCTTTTGCATCTTAGGAGAATGGATATCAATGTCAATAACTGTATTTTATTAACAGAAATAAGAGCCAAAACCATAGGCCTATTGGGACTCTCAACTAAAATCCCCCATATGTTTCAATGATCCAAATTACATTCTTCTGAAATATTTGTCTTCGGTTTCAAAAACAGAATCCTTCCATTAAAATCCTCACATTGAAGCATATGGAACAGTATCTCTCCTAAAGACTGGTAAAACTGTCTATGTAATGCAGCAATTTTTAATTTCCTGATAGCAATTATCAGTCTGTTTCCTATGTTGGTAAAGTGCCAAGCTATCACAACAATGTGCAGTTTATACTAATATTTTAAAAAATATTTCCTATTAGTGATAGTTGCTGAACTAGCCATGAAAAGCAGATGTTCTTATTCAAGTTGCAAATGGATGCTTTTCAAAAGGGCAACCAATCCAATCCAAACTGGGAGCCAAAATTTACTATTGGCATTTCCAAAGGCCTCAATACATTTTTAAGGATTACAACAGATGCATGCCTACTTTCCTTTGTTCATTGGGCAGAGGATGGTTAAAATGACATCTGAGCTTCCGAATAACACTTTTCACCCCAGCATTTACACAAATTGTACTAGAAAAGTATTTCTGTCATTCATACTCTGAAAAACTGCACACACTTGGGGGTTGTGAGTTGGCTAAATCTTTCCTTAAATATTCAGTGAGGGCCTCTACTTGCCCGTCATTCCATTCCATCTGCACCACAGTCATGAACCATGGATAAGAGGAGTGTTCAGAAAGCAAGAAAACATCATGGCAAGAGAAGTATTAACCTACCACCAACCAATCCCTAGAGAAGGAGGACAAAACTTCAGTTCAGCTGAACAGGTATTAACATTATGAGGAGAGATCTGACATGTGGAGGCAGGTATTAGGGTAGAGATGGACTTACAAGTGGGTTTGATGTCAGGTAAAGAAAAGAATTGACTTCAGTCCTGGAAAAGGAAGCCAGAAACAAGATCCTTTCTGGGAGATGAGGCTAGCAGAAACTAATGCTCAGGACCTACCCACAACAGTCCAGAGCTAGGAAACAGGAGTAGAGAGAAACCAGAAAGCTGGCTGGGTGCTCCAGTCCATGATGCCAGGCCTCCTTCCCTGGGCACATGCTTGGACACAGAAGCCAGGCACCATGAGCCTGGGCAGAAGTGCCAATGCAGCAGGCAGGCCTCATAGACGATCAAGAAGTACATTTGCAATACAACCACAATATCCTCACAAGTTTCCCTAATTTTACAAATTATGATAACAGTTATAATAACAATAACATTTATTCAACACATGTACCAGGGGTTGTTTCATGTGCTTTACATTCATTGCATCATTCATACATTGATTCATTCCCAATATACTTATTGAAGGCCAGTCACTGTTCCAGTTATTTATGATATATCAGTGGGCAAAAAAGAGAAAGTTCTGTGGAGTTTCATTCCAGTCATTTAATCGCACATCAACTTTTTTTAACTACGGCTATTTTAGATGAGAAAATTATTAAAGTTTGGAGAGATTATATAATCTGTCCAAGATTATGAAAATGACAATGAGTCTAAATTCAGGATGACAATCTATTGTTCATTGCTTCCAGAGATAGAGATCCTCAAAGCACAGGGTACTTTGGCACTGCTACAAAGCTGTGTAAGCCTAGAACTGTGCAAGCAACTCTGGCTAGTGGGTTTCAGGCTCCTGATATATCAAGAGACCAAGTACCACGGCTGAGGTGGAAGCAGCAAGGCAAAGGCAAACTGATCCCATATACAATGGAGAGGAGAGCTCTAAGCTCATTCTAAAGTTCTTGCCCTGACCTACAGCAGGTGCCTCTAACCACTTCCCCAACCCCATTGTCCACCATTCTGTTCAGGCTACATCTTGACCATATCAAAAATGCTCCTCCCTCCAGGACTATGTGCATTCTATTCCATCACAGTATTCACCACTACCTGACAGACTCTTTATATGCCATTACACTAGAACATAAGTTCCAGGAGGACAGAGAGTTCTCTTTTTGTTCGTAACAGTACTCCTATCCTAGCCTTGAAACTTACACCATTAAGTAAATAAATATCTGTTGGACTAATAAAAAAATATAAGATCCAATCATTCTCCAGGATCTAGGAGATAAGCTTGTTGTTGACAGATGGGATGAGCATAGGCAAAATCTTAAAGAGATATGAAATTCCCCATATTGGTGAACAATAAAACAGAATTTGGCATGGCTAAAACATAATGTTCATTGGAGAAGTAACTAGAGAAAAGACCAGAAAAGTTACTTGGAGTCAGGTCATGAAGGGTTGTATCAGTCCCTTCTTGCATTGCTCTAAAGAACTACCGGATACCAGGTAATTTATAAAGAAATGAGGTTTAACTGACTCACAGTTCCACAGGCTTGTACACGAAGCATGGCTGAGGAGGCCTCAGGAAACTTACAATCATGGCAGAAGGCGAAGAGGAAGGAGGCACATCTTACATGGCTGGAGCAGAGGAAGAGAGCGAAGGGGGAGTTGCTACACACTTTCAAACAACCAGATCTCCTGAGAACTCACTCACAAGACAGCAGTAGGGCAGTGGTGCTAAATCATTAGAAACTGCCCCCATGATCCAATCACCTCCCATCAGGCCCCACCTTCAACAATAAGGTTAAAATTTGACATGAGATTTGAGTGGAGACACAGAGCCGAGCCATATCAAGCTTCTTATATGTTATGGTAATTCATTTCTTCAAAAATGTTTCTGTAATGCCTGTTGGGTGCTACTTGCTAGGGGTGCAAGTGAACAAGACGGAAAGGCTCCCTGCCTTAAGACAGCTTGACGTAAAAGGGGAAGAAAAGTGTATGGGCATCACATAACAGGTGGTGACGAGTCATGAAGGCTTATTAAGCAAAAGCTAAGTTTAAGCGTTGTTTACAGAAAGACAGGACTAGAAGCAATTTGGAAGCTGACTTACAAAGATGTCTGATGTGATACAAGAGAAACTGCAGCCAGCTCACAGCCCACCACAACAGGACATGGGAAGAGGTGGTGAGGTCACAGTGGCAGTGGGAAGAAAGAGGAGGAAAAATATTTGAGAGACAGTTCAGAGCTGTACAGCCTTTGATGACTGAGATGAAGGAAGTGCTGGTGGTAAGAAAGAGCTGGGAGAAGAGTGTCAAGAATGACAAAGATTTTTCTAGATTTTCCACTAAGGTTAAGACAGGAAACCAAATAGGAAAAGAAAACCATGTCACAATCCTCCTATATCCCTCAAAGGACCTACTACATTCTGGGATACATGAATATCTGGGTATAGTATTTAATTTCAATATATTTTGCTTACCTAAAATCTGTTACACAGAGGGAAAGATTTCTCTTAAGCTGCGCAGGTTCAAATCATATAAAAAAGACTAATAAAGTCAAATTTATCCAAACATGGAAATACAAGTTTGGTTAAAATTAAAAAAAAAAATGCTATCAACCAATCCTCTGATTAGCCACATTTTCAAAAAAAATTTACTACCATTTTATTCTACAAACTCATGGTTATCAAAACCAAAAAACAAAATACAAATTGCTATTTGCCAAAGTAGAAGTTTGAGTACTGTACATTAACATATTCATTGGTCATTTCCCTTTATGAAAAGTTGTTTGAATAGTAATGAAAAAAACATTCACAACACTGAAGGGAGTATGTAATGAAATAACATCACTGGTCTTTTGTGTCAAGAGAAAATGAAGATTACTATTAAGTATTAAGTCATATATTTTCTGTGGGAAACAAAGGAAATAATTATTGACCTAAATTTCCACCTTTTCTTGTGTACAATGATTTCAAGTTGCTCCTTATCAAACCCAAAATGGATTAACTTTCTACAACATGGATCAGTGAGTGTTTAGCTCCTGCATAGCCTGGAAAAAAATAGTGCTGAAGAGTTGGGAAAAATAAAAGAATGTATAGGAATAATAAAAATCCAAGTTAAGTTTTTAAAGTGTGACCATTCCAATGAAAACAAGAAAGAGCAAGCAACCTTAATTTTTTCTTTGGCAGCCAGAAAAATGTGCACACTGCTAAACAAGTAAACTAAGTAATTAGGTTTTGTTTTTTCTTTCTTTTTTTTTTTTTTTTTTTTTTTTTTGAGACGGAGTCTCACTCTGTTGCCCAGGCTAGAGTGCAGTGACGTGATCTCGGCTCACTGCAAGCTCCACCTCCCGGGTTCACACCATTCTCCTGCCTCAGTCTCCGGAGCAGCTGGGACTACAGGCACCCGCCACCACGCCTGGCTAATTTTTTGTATTTTTAGTAGAGGCGGGGTTTCACCATGTTAGCCAGGATGGTCTCGGTCTCCTGACTTTGTGATCCGCCCACCTGGGCCTCCCAAAGTGCTGGGATTACAGACGAAACCCACCGCACCCAGCCCGGTTTTGTCTTTTTCTAAGAATCTACATTCATTCTCTTCATATATTTGTAATTTAAATATTTAGTTAAAACTTTGTGCTTATATGTAATTTTATCTTCCTCTGAAAACCTTGAGCATGGTATTGGTTTCTAGTGGAATGTATGTTTCCAAAAAAAAGTGAGGCAGAAAAAATGATCTTTAGATTTTTACTTCATCCAAGAAAGGTTATCAAAGCACATAAAAGCATGACGTAGTGTTTGCCTTGTTATTACAAGGTATAACAAAAGTAGTTAGGACTAAAAGATTATTTCAATACTAACTAAGTTGTAGCAGTTTGCATTGTCTAGACAGTCATGTCAGACACCTAACAAGAATGGCCATGCCTTTCCTCTTTTTCCCACCAACACTCTGGATGCTCACAATGCAGAGAAGAAAGATATCTTGCATTTCTATGGCCAAATGCATACACTTGACCCAATATATAATCTATCAATTTTTCAAGAATATCCACTTCCAAGTTAAGATTTTTCCAGATTTCCCAAATGATGTCTTTAGTTATATTAAATTTTACGTATAATCCAATTACTGTACTAATTTGACATTTTTATTGGCAATGCTGTTAAATATCTAATTCATTTCACCCAAATATCCCCAAGAATTCTGTACACTTTCATTATTGCATAGAGTACAAGTTAGAATAGGACATTGCCTTGGAGCATGGGCCTGATGATCAGACTTCCTGGTTTAGTCTCTACCATGTATATAAGTCCAGGTGTATGAGACTTTCTTCTGGTTTCAGTTTTCTTATCTGTAAAGTGCTGATAAATTTCTGCTTCATATAATTTTTTTAAGACTTCAAAGAGGCAATGTATATAAACTGCTTAGCACATAATGTCTTTTACAAATGTTAATAGGTAATATTTAAATAATTATAATTAGTAATAGCAGTAATAGTGGTATTTCACTTATTCTTCCCAAACTGATTTTTAGAATGGGTGTACTAACCTGATTTTCTTTGACTCTTTGCAGAAACCACTAAGTTTTGTGTGTTATATTCTTTATAAAACTATTACATAACTAAAACAGAAATGTTAAGAGTTGTTTTTTATAAATGATGACAGGAATTGACAGAAAACTAACCCACACAATTAATACATAATTGTGGAATACATTAATATATAATTATGGTAAATGGCAGCAATGAATTATTTTATCTGTTTAAAACTGTGACGATGTACACACCGATTACACAGAAATACAAGTCACTTCATCCTAATGAGGACATCTAATGTTTTCTGACTACTAAAGACAACCATGAAGTGTCTGATAGTGCTTCCTAGCAAGCAAATTCTATATTTGACATAGTGCTAAATAAAAAGCTTTACTGGTTCTCCTTTATGTGATTATCCAGAAATATACTGTTTAAGAGAAAGACATTTATTACTGAACGTATTTAACAAACAGATTACTGGAGAAGTTATCCACAAAGTGGCCTGTAATTTGAGCCCTGGAAAACTTTCAAAATTACTTGAGGAAATCAAAAGAACTACAAAGGAAATAAGTTGCTAAATTTCAAAATTAGCCTGCATTTAGGGCAATATGAAGTCAGCAATACCAACACCTCTGTGCCATTACACATGTTCCTGTCATCACCCTGACGATGTTCTTTCCCCACCTCCGCTTTTCCACATTTTACCAACCATGCTTGTCTCTTCTTGGAATTTCTGTAGGATGTACATGCATGTACATAAATAAATTAAATCCAGCATTCTTTTTTCCTTTCTGGAGTATTTCTCCAATTCTAAAACGTACCACAATAAAGTCATAAAGGAAACAAAATTCATTCAACAGAAATTTGGAATACATTTTTAAATTAAGGAATTATATAACTGCACAGCATTTACTCAGGCCTTGTTACTTCCTGCCAGCCTCTTAATAAGCATGACCCATAAAAATAGAAACAGTATAATTTTGAATAACTGAATAACTTATCATACCCAGGAAGTTTCTATTACCCTCTTTTGCTATTTGATGCTGAATATGGCTAAAATAAATGTTGCCAATAGAGAGAGTATATTTGAGGAAGTCCATTGTTGTAACTCACATATTCTTTGAGACCAGGGTTTCTTGACATCTGCACTACAGACATTTACACCAGATAAGTCTTTCTTGTCCGGGCTGTCCTGTACATTGTAGGATGCTTAGCAGCATCCTTGGCTTCTGCCACTATATCCCAGTAACATCCCCTCAGTTGTAACCATCAAAAATGCCTTCAGAAATAGCCAAATGTTGCAGAGGAGAGGTAGTAAAGCAGCCCATTTCAGAACCACTGTTTTATAATTGCTGATTCTATGAACTCATTAGAAAAGAACCTTAATTTTGTCCAGGCATGCTGGGTCACATCTGTAATCCCAGCACCTTGGGAGGCCAAGGCAGGAGGACTGCTTGAGCCCAGGAGTTTCAGACCAGCCCTGGCAACATAGCAAGACCCCATCTCTACAAAAAATAACAATAAAAAAAACTAGACGGTCATGGTGGTGTGCACCTATAGTCCCAGCTAATCAGGCTTAAGTGAAATGATCACTTGAGCCTGGGAGGTCGAGGCTATGACCCATAATTGTTCCACTGCACTCCAGTCTGGGCAACAGAGTAAGGCCCTGTGAAAGAAAGGAAGGAAAGAAAGGGAGGGAAGGGAAGGAAAAAAGGGAAAGGAAAGGAGGGAAAGGAGGGAAGGGAAAGGAGGGAAAGGAAAGGAAAAGAAAGGAAAGGAAAGGAAAGGAAAGGAAAGGAAAGGAAAGGAAAGGAAAGGAAAGGAAAGGAAAGGAAAGGAAAGGAAAGGAAAGGAAAGAAAGGAAAAGAAAGAAAAGGAAAGGAGGAAGGAAGGAACCTTAATTTTATGTTGAATTATACTTCCCAATAAAATAATACCTCAATATTGAAAGAAAATAACACCTGATATAAAAATCATACTTATAATTTGCTTCAGAATATATCTGCTGGGAAATTAGCAATACTTTAAAAGATAATTTTATTATTTTCCTTAAATTCCTTCTATCCTTTCTGCATATCCAAGTTTCTCCAACAAACAAGTGCAAAGATCCCAGAAAAGGGCTGCAAATTTGCTTATTAGTTCAAGCAATGGAAACTGAAAGAAACCTGAAGATTTCAATATTAATATAACAACTAAGGAAATCTCTCTGGCCCCATTCTTAGACATGGCCAATGAGGATCTACTAAATTAGCCTCAGAAGTCTCCAAAGTAACTACAATTACCCAAATTAATATGGTGACTTAACTTTCAACAGGGAACTAGAAGACAGAGTTTTATCCTTGGCTCTACATCAGATTGGCTGGATAAGATCTTTAGATTTTGCATTCCTTCACAAAAACAAAGAGTGACCCCTGTATCAAGAACAAAATATTTCACAATATGAACTGAAATATAAACCTGTTTATATTTTATTAATTTTGTTAGAAAAAAGTGACATAAAATTTAATATATCCTTGTGGTTGTTCCATCTAGTTTCTGTGAAGAACAATAAAAATGATCACAAGTTATGTAAATAAATTGCTAAAGAAACGAGGGAAGGGTGCTCTTTATAAAAAATTAAAAGATACGCTGGGCAGTAGGGCAAGAAACACAGGTTTAAACGTTGGATCCTTTCTAGAAGATCGTACTGTTGATTCACAGGAATAAAAGAGGGAATTGGTTTTAGAAGACAGGAGATATGCAGAAAAGCAAACCACAAATTCACTTCTTTTCGCACATGCAGTTTTGTTGCACCGTCTATATCTGTGCTGTCTGGGTAGCCACTTGTTGCAACTACTGAGCAGCTGAGACATGACTAGTCCAAATTTAGATGTATGCAAAAAGCATATTGGATTTTGAAGACTTAGTATAAAAAATAGAATTTAGCATGTCTCATAATTTTTGAATTAATTACATGTTGAATGGTATTTTGATTACACTGGGTTAATTTTTTTTAACTTTTTTTTTTTCTTTTGAGACACAGTCTCACTCTGTCGCCCAGGCTGGAGTGCAGTGGTGCGATCTCGGCTCACTGCAGCCTCCGCCTCCTGGGTTCAAGTGATTCTACTGCCTCAACCTCCCGAGTAGCTGGGATACAGGCACACACCACCATGCCTGGCTAATTTTTGTATATTTAGTAGAGACAGGGTTTCACCATGTTGACCAGGCTGGACTTGAACTCCTGACATAAGGTGATCTGCCCGCCTCAGCCTCCCAAAGTGCTGGAATTACAGGCGTGAGCCACTGTGCCCAGCCAATTTTTTTTTTTAAACTTGTAAAATGTCTACTAGAAAACAAAAATCATAACTTCTTTTAGTGTCTACTAGAGTACTGAAGATTACATATGTGGATTGTATTCTATATCTCTTGGACAAAGCTGTTCTACATTATCATGTCAGTGGCTCTCACACTGAATTGGTACCATGATCTTACCTGTAGTTTCCACCCAATCTTTCTGGAAATTGAAAGGTGGCGGGGAGTGGGAAGTTTTGAATGTCATAAAATTGGAAGAATGCCACTTTCCTTTATCACCCAGAAGCTAGAGATGTTAAAAGTCCTTAGCGTATGAGTCAGTCCCAAACAACGAACTGCTCTATCCACAATCTCAGGTGTGCCCCAACTGGAAAACACGAAGGTGATCTCATCTGCTAGGCAGACTTCAGCAACTAATTGCTGAAACCTAACTTTGTATCTTTAGCACTGGCCTCTTTATCCCCGAAGATCCAGAACTATATTCCAACTGACCCCTTAACATCTCCAACTGGACATTCCATGGGGATGGCACAACTAACAAATCCAAACCAAGTTCAGCATCTCTGACCTCCACACCCCCCTTCCAAAAAAAAACGCAGGCAAGAAAGACACATCTTGCTCCGCATCATGAATTTTCCATCAAGGAATGACATCATCATTGACACAACCCTATTTCTCAGGCTAGCAACTGTTCCCTTGCTACCCCACATAAAACTTGTTACCACAATTCTTGGCCAGTCACAGCCGGCCTTTTCTCTCTATTCCAATTGTCATTGTCCCATATATGATGGTATTTTCTTTCATCCCACCACCAAAGACATTTTGGGACAGAGGGAAATTGTTCCTCTATGTCTACAGCTTAACTAATTTAACCAGCATCAGAGGAAAATCTTGGCAATTGTTGATGCTAGATAAAATGTAAGGTCATAAGGAAGCCTTAGAAAATATGTCTGCATTTTATATAAAATATATATTATTTATATTAGATATATTAAAGGAGAAATGAAGTCTACTAGTAGATAAGGATAAGTGACTTACATAGCAGTTAAAAGTATTATATATAATTAGATGTGTTTAAATATAGTACATGTATATGGTAATGTACTACATATGTAAAATTATATATCTCATGTAATATATTTACATATGAAGTGATTCTCATTATGGTTATTTCAGGCAAATATAAAGAGACATTTTAGGAACCTTATTTCTCAACACATTATCAGGTAAATGCTGTATAAAAACAAAGATATTGCTTCTAGATTTTAAAAGGGCAATGCATAATAAAACTTTATTTTGCTCCTAATAGTTTAGTCTGAAAGATCAGACGATGGCAAACCACCACCACCTTTTGAAAGTTAAAATTGCGGGATCAACAGCCTCAAATACCGCAAAATGCAAGCTTTTTTTGTTTTACCATTAACTTGAAACCCTACTAAACTCCCTGAAAAAAACTGGAGATACATAAATAGATGAGAAACATCAGGCCTACAGGCATCCTGGAAAAATAACAATATTCACAGCCAATGTGAGTCTCAAAAAGTGACTGAACAATCGACCTGCTTCCAGTATTAAAAATAATAATTGAAATCAATCTAATGTCAAACAATTGAGAACTAGATGAATAGATTATGAGACATTCAAACCACCAAATATTTATATATTAAATATGTAGCTCTTTGTCTTGATATAAATGACGAATCACAAAGAAGTGAAAAAAACAGTATGTTCCTATAACTTTAAAAATAATGCATATGAGACAGAAAAAGCATGCTAAAATGATAAACACTCAAAATTGGAGCTGATAGAACATGGAGTGAGATTTTTCACTTGCTTTGACATGTTTTCTCACTTTTTAAAATAATTTTAAATGTTATCTATACAATTAAAATAAATGCTTGACAGTTCAAAATGTGAGGCAAAAAAAGAGTCAAGTGGGCTAAAAAAAAGAAGAGCCAATGGTTGGGATAAAAAAAACAAAGTTCCTATACAGGTTAGCAATCATAAAGTGTAAAAGAGTCATTTTGGTTCTCTAACCAGCAATGTGCACATACATACAAACACATACACACTGTCCCATATATACTCATGTTACAGTTACAATTTAACTAATACAAAACTTAAAAATATGCAGCTGAAACTGAAACAATGTATTGTCTAAGTTATATTTGTAACTGATATGCTGAATCTGTTATACAGCTTGAACTGCACTATCAAAACGTTTGCAAATATTTTCATTATGCAGAGATCTATGTTATACTGTTAACTCATCTGAGAATGATATGTTTTTTATGTTCTAGGGAGTTCCTTGACAATAGACAAATGGACACATTATACTATTATCTTGTGCTAAGTATTTAGCATCCTTAAAAAAGAAATTATTGGCCAAATACTTTAATTTTATTTATTTATTTATTTATTTTTTAACTACAGGGAGTAGCCAGTGAGTGTACTTTTAAAGATCTTACTCATAGGAGAAATAAATCTTTCCTGGTTCTGTCTGGGGAAAGTACACAAGAACAAAAAGATTTACACTTGTCAGATTTTTGAATAAAACATACTATCTTATAATCACAACAATTAGATTCTGCCCTCCTTTGAGCCTTTAATCATGATAGCCACATTCTCAGATTATATAACAATATTGGAAATGTTTTTTGAGAAAATTCCTAGAGAGTTATTATGAAGAGGACTGTGTTCTCACTAACAATGCATTTTTGGAAGAACTAAAAATATCCTCTGGGTATTTTCTTAAAAAAATCTTTCCGGTTTCCTGCCTAGCATGTAAGAAGCTTAGAAGTAGCCACTCCATCCTAACAAGTGAGAAGCTGAACAAACCGAAAAAATCAACAACTCTTCTCAGATCTGTTAGAGAAGTCACAGGCAAATACAGTCCCGAAATTGGAGACAAAGATGGAAGACACAGAGAAACAGAACTTACCAGGGAAGAAAACTCTGTGAGAACCAGTATTCAGGCAGGAAACCCCAAATTGTAATTGACGGATTGCTAGGGACTCAGAGTGGACAACTCTAGGAGTTAAAAACTCCAGGGGGACCAAGTCACAGGGGGCTCCTGACATGTGTACAGTAAAATCTGCAATCTTACCTAAATTTAATAAAACTTAAGGAGTGTGTGTTATAATGAGACTTTAGGGCAACAGACACCTTACCAAACAAGACAAAGATGGCAAGTTAGCATATGAAAAGATGTTCAACACCATACATCATTAGGGAATTGCAAATTAAAACAACGAGATGCCATTACACAACTATTAGAATGGCCAAAATCCAAAACACTAACATCAGCAAATGTAGGGGAGGATGTGGAGCAACAGGAACTCTCATTTCTGGTAGAAATGCAAAATGGGCAGCCACTTTGGATGACAGTTTATTAGCTTCTTACAAAACTAAATATATTCTTACCATAAGATCACACTGTCACTGTCTTTGGAATTTACTCAAATGAACTGAAATTATGTCCATGCAACCTTTATAGCAGCATTATTCATAATCCCCAAGGCTTGGAAGCAATCAAAATGTCCTTCATTAGGTGAATGGATAAACTGTGGTACATCCAGACAATGGAATATTAATCAGCAATAGAAAGAAATTAGTTATCAAGCCATGAAAAGACATGCAGGAACCTTACATGCATATTACTGAGTGAAAAATAAATTTAAAAAGCCAGTCTGAAAAGGTAATATCCTATATGATTTCAACTCTATGACATTTTGGAAAAGGCAAAACTACTGACACAGTAAAATGATCAAGAGATGCCAGGTCTTAAGGGGAAGGAAAAGATAAACAGGAAGGGCATAGAAGATTTCTAGAACAATAAAACTATTTTTATGAGACTATGATAGTGAATACACATCAATATGCACTTGTCAAAACCCACAGAATGTACACAAAGAGTAAGCCCTATTGCAGACTATGGACTTCGAATCACAATGATGTGTCAACGTAGGTTCATCCATTGTAACAAATGTACCACTGTCGTGCAGGATGCTGAAATTTTTAAGGAGGTTGCGTATGTGTAGGGATGAGGGGTAGATGGGAACTCTCTGTACTTTCTGCTCAATTTTGCTGTGCATTCAAAATTCTAAAAATAAAGTGTATTTTAAAAATCTCTTCGCAAGTTTAATCACAAATTCTACTTTTTAAAATTCAAAAACAAAAAGAATATACTCTGTACCATGGTCTCCAAAAAAAGCAGTTAAAAATAAATGGACAATTCGATAATGCATTTCCTAACTCACTTCAGGGGTACTATAATTAATATTTAGACATATGTAAAAACACTAGTGCCTAAAAGTAACCACGATTGCCAAGTCTATAAAATTATAAAAAGTAGCAAGGTGCTATCTCAAGAGTTTTGAAGAAACAGACCATTCTCTCACACAATTTTATATTACTTAAGCATACTTGTAACAGAGATTCAAACATAATTCTATCACCCCACATTACTTTTTAGCATTTTGTCAACACCAATAGAAGGGATTGGTTAATAATTTGAAATACCAGGCAACATGGGCAAATATATCATTCTGCATTTAATCATTTTTCCCCTAGCAGTAAAGAAAATTGCTATCTGGTATACTTATTAAATAAAAGATTAAAATACAATTAAATAAAGCATAGTCATTTTGTGCCAGAAGATGTAAGAATATGTGTGTTCTATTGGGATAGAAAAATCAAAGTTTCTATACAGGTTAACAATCATAAAGTATAAGAGAGTCATTTATACACACACACACACACACACACACACACACACACACGTATATATGCTGAAGTATAGTACTTCAGTATACACACACACACACACACACTCGGAATTATTTGTATGTCCCTGAAAAACATCCAGTGGGAAAAACCATCGCAGGCATTGAGACACAGCACTCTGCCTCAACTAACCTTAACTTTTCTATTTATTTTCAATTTTAGAATGGATTATATAAACGTTAAAAAATGGTTTTAGGTTTTACTACTTCCAACAATTAGGACAAGTCATTCAACAATGTTTTTGGAACATCTGTTTATATCAACTACCTTTTAAGTTAAAAAGTTTTCGGAAAAATAACTCCAATTTTCTATATGGAAAAGTTTCGTATATAATTTAGTACTCGTATGACGCTAATAATGCCAATGGATAAATCTTTCATTTTCAATACTAACTTCAGAAAATCTTAATATTTTGACATAGAAAATAAGTTGTCAAGGAGAAGCAGAAATATTTATCTAAATGTAATTACTTGAAAAAACATTGTTTATATTTATGCAAGCTACTAATTTTAAATAAGAAATCATGTACAGCTTGGATGCTAAAGTCTGATTGATTGGTTCAGAAATGCAAACACCCAAAAGAACTGGCAAAAAGATTGTGCCCCTCAATAACAGATGAGAAGAAAACCTAGCACTATGGGATTATGAGGTGGAACTTAAGCAAGAACAGTCTCTGAGGTTCAACTCATGCGTTTGTTTCTACAATTTATTACCAGTGAAATCAACAAATGGGGAAGCTAGCTTGAAAGTACTGACAGATTCCTTCTGAAGTATTGTGACAAATGTCTAATTTTATACCATTCATGACCTTCCATCCAAATAGTGGGCAATGGAAAAGTAATATGTGTGACAGTATAACTAGTAAGAGAAAACCCAGGTACCCTGTACTTTCACACACCCACACCAACTACAGCCATGGATGCAGAGACATAAAGAGTCCACAAGAAAACACAAATATTAATAAGTAGGTCCATGCAACAGTGAGCATCTTACTGGCTCCTACCCACAATTCATTGATCTTTGCATCTCCCATTGTTTACAGAATAGCTCACAGAACACAGAAGCTCAAAACAGCCTACCCAGGTTTTTTTCCAGGTTATTGGACATTGACAATAGCAAAACCACCGCTCAATTTCAGAAACACTCTATAAGAATCTTAGGTCAGCCGAGCACGGTGGCTCATGCCTGTAATCCCAGCACTTCGGGAGGCCAAGGCGGGTGGATCACGAGGTCAGGAGATCAAGACCATCCTGGCTAACATGGTGAAACTCCGTCTCTACTTAAAAAAAAAAAAAAAAAATCTAAGGTCATTCTAGTTTTAGTGTATACCCGAAAGCTTTTTGGACCCCCCAATTCTTTCAAAAAGGTATCAGAAGCTGGACATGGTGGCTCATGCCTATAAATCCCAGCACTTTGGGAGGTTGAGGTGGGAGGATCACTTGAGCCCAAGTGTTCGAGACTGGCGTGGGTAACATAGTGAGACCTCGTCTTTACTTCAAAAACAAAAAACATGATCAGAATAAATGGCAGGAGGCACATTAAAGAGAATCTGACACATTAAGGTTGATATGAACCTAGCCTATGACATTCCAAGGAAGCCAAAGACAAAACAGGACTGTAAGCAGTGCTTCCCAATTATTTTCACACTATGGAACATGCAAAAAAGGTAGCAGCTCCATTGCATACCGGGGTAAGCAGTTTAGCTTGGCCTTGGCAGGCAGTCCCAAGGGGTAGGGATGCACATCTCAGGTACACTTGTAACCCATCTGTGAGGGATCAGTGTGACTCCAGATACCATAACAGTCAAAAGCCTTTACCTTAGGATCCAATGCCCTCAACATGGCTACTTCACAAACAAAGCTACCATCAACAGCAAAAAAAAATAGTGCTGAGAACTTTATACTTTAATAGGTCAATGCTGCCACCATTAAAAATACATTATCCCATGACAATAATACATATTTCAGACGAATAATACATATTTCAGACTAAAGACTTTGGGGCAAAATATTTTAATGTCAAGTCTCCATAAGAAATATTTTATTCTAAAAGCACTTTATTTTGATGGCTCATTTCTTCATTCTTCCATCGGACCTAACTAATATATACAAGGATTCCAGCCTCTAATTACCTCTGTACAGTCCTCTACAGTGATAGGATGTGTAGGCCAAGCAGATATGATGGGTGGGGAATCTGGCTGTCACCAAGCCAAAGATCTTGCGCTTGTATCTACATGGCTGTTTACGATCCATCCCCTTCTGCGTGGTCCATGCAGTGATAACGTGGAGGCTGACTTAGCATCCCAAGGGCAGATGCAGACAACATTCACGCACATAACTGCACACTGCTCCAAAACTTCTGCTCCCCTTTCCACCTTTCATCTTTCCCTTTCCAGAAGCAAATAAATATATTAAAATTTCCCACTCTCACCAAAAGGCATAAGATGACTGGAACCTCTGTAGAGGTTATTAAGCCCCTATTATAACATGCTCTTCAAGCTACGAAATGACAATTTTATACCAATGAGCTTTCTTTTCCAAGTTCTTCTGATGTAGCTGCTATGTAAATTAAATTAAGAGCAGGCCACTCTAATACTCTAGTAGGCGGGGCTGTAAACTGCAGGGCAATTTGGCAGAAAATATCAAAAGCCATAAAAATGCATGTACCTTTCAATCTAGCAATTGTTAACTCTTGGAATTTATCCTAAGGTAATAATTAAGGATGTGCAAAAGAGTATTAATTTCCCTGCTGTTTGTAATTACTAAATCTTGGAAGCAAGCTAACTGCCCCCAAATTGGATAGTGGTTAAATAAGTTATCACAGAAACATAAAAATCACAAATGATAATTCTGAAAGATGTAGAAATGTGCCCAATATATAATACAAGCTTGTGCATGTCATTCTTAAGTATCAAAATCAAAATACAGATAAATTATATGAAGCTACCTCATTATTCCAAGAGCAGTTAAAATTATGGTAGCTTTACTTTTCTCTCTGTTTTCTGATGTTTCTCTAATGAGTCTATAATGAACATGAATAGTTTTGATAAAGAGAACTAAAAGAAAAAAAAGTAAAAGTTTAGAGAAAAAAATGCCAAATAAAAAGTATCTGAAAGAGGAAGGATTAGGAACAAGTGTGATTGTGAGGCCCTGAAATGTGCAGCCAACATTGGTCATGAAATCTCTGTTCCTTGGGGATTTGTAAGAAAAGGGTAGCCAAGTCTCATTTGAGGACAGCTTGAATGCAGTCCTGACCTCTGTGGCCTCTTGTAGCTCCATGTGCAAAAAGACTCAGCCAAAATTCAATTTTCACTCACTGACACACAAAGTAGTCAATTCCTTACATTTGCCCCCAATCTTCCACAATCCTTTCTCCTGTTCAAGAGACAGCAACCTTAAAGTCTTCTACCCAGCAACGAAACCCAATGACACTGAATTTATATGCCCAGTAATGTGCCGGCACTTTACTCAGGAAACACTGTCAAATGTTAGTTAATATTCCAAAACATGCAGCTGACTTCTAGCTAACTGACTTGTCCATGTTAAAGAAAAATTATAACTAATTTCAGCCACTTAAATATCCCAGACTGAGAAAAAGAAAATGTAAAATGACATGCATTGCATATTGACCTGTAAGTTTTATAACTAAAAATCTTATAAATAGTAACCAAAATGACTTCCAGGATATGCGTAAGGACAATTAAAAATACTCACTTCTGACAAGTTCCTTTGCTTTAAAAAGGCCTCTAATTTTGTTTTCTAATACCTTCCTATGAATGCAAATGTAACACTTCCCAAATCCATAATTAAATGCATCTTTGACTTGGGAATCTGTTTTCCTGGCCCATGAGAAAGAGTTCACAGAAGATGGAGAGTCTGAGCATCAGAGGGGTTTAACCAAGAATGATCCATTAAAATAGGTTTGCACCAGTTACCAAAACTGAGAAAAATGAGTTTGAATCTGTGCAGAGAGGCACAGAAATGCCAAGGTGAAGGAGCCTGCCAAGGCTGGAATACACGGTCACTAAACAAATAACGCATGGTGTATTCAACGCCAGAAGAATACAGTGGATGATGTGTAAATGAGAGTCTAAGGGACCCAGCTCCAAGACAAAGTCAAGATTTTAAAAAAGAAATACCACTCCTGCTGAGACTCTCATCCTTCCGCCAAGGAGGAGTCCATGCCATCACCTTTGTAAGCAAGGCATCTGATATAGATAACCCCATACAACCCTTAAGGTGTATTATTCTTGGTACCAAACATGTGTCATTTTTACAAAACAGTCATCCAGTCATAAGGCAGGTCTGTCTCTTCATCAATAAGCCTCACTTATACAGCATTCTTAGGAATATTGTGTTCTCACGAGTTTCGTTTTCTGGATGGGTGAGGGGTTCTCTCTTTTAATTGCAAATTTAAAAGAGAAAATACTAAGTACTTGGGATGGAAATAATCCTAATATCTTCTACATAGAAGGCAAGGGACATAAGTTAACTTTTTCCTGATGACTCAGACTAATAATTATGAGCATCAGTGACGATGAAATGCTGCATACTGAGATAACTTCAGGGCCCACTGAAGTGTATCGAGGCTCAGTGACCTGAAACTGCTGTGCTTCTTGAGTTCTTGTATCTGCATATTAGAGTCTGTCAGGCTACTACTTCTCAATATGGTCATGTTCTTTTTATAGATGCTCCTTCTGCCCTATGGTGAAACAGAAAGAACACTGAACTTAGAGTGAAGTCAATTTAGGTTATTATTTCTAGCTGAATGATCCTGGATAAGTCACTTAACATCTTTGGGCCCAAGTCAAATGAGGAACTTCAACTATCTCTCAAGGTCCTTTTCTTTGCTCAGATGCTTAATTTACATTTGCTGCTTCTCATCTGTTGTAGACTTTGAAATGAGAAAAATAAGTCAGCTAAATTTGCATAGGAAGTAACATAAAATAGAAATATAAGCACACAACATGCTCTCTTGTAAGTGAAGCATAAATACCTTATGACATCTATTTGTCTTCTCAGAGGCCTTACTTGTGTAATTTGTAGTCACTGGTGGGGTCTCAGACAGCTATGATTTCTGGATAATTATGATTCTATGCATGATATTTCACTATATTTCCATATGCTTCTATTTTACCTAATATTCTCAAGGCAAATCATTATTTGATAATAGCTTTATTTCAAGCCACCGAAGAAGAGAATCTGTGTATCTTTCGTCGTCATCTATGCTTGTCAGCAAACTGCAAAATGAATACTCTCATCTTGGGACTTTGACTTATTCAATGGTTTCAATGACACTGACCACTTAAGAAAGTTTTCTAAAAGATGATGCTTTTGAAAACATAAGACACAGTAGAAATGTAAAGAATATTTTTGCAAACTCCACGAGGAAAGATAATTTATTCGTCTTTTATTTTCTAGAGTCCCTAACACATGATTTGTCTATTACTATCATCATCAGGAACTTAAAAAACCACATCCAAGTCCACTTCTCTTCTCCCTCGACACGTTGATCCCTGAAGTCCAAGTCATGCTCACAGCTGTACTTCCAGCTCTGCACAGATCATCCATCTCCAGCTCCCACCTCTCCCCTGAGTTCTGGATCTCTATTCCCTATCATAACCTCCGTTTGGATTTCCCATAAAGTGTCTAAGAAAGTTTATATTGCCTCCTCATCTCACATCTCTCTCCCTTACCCCATACTTTAAAAAAAAAAAAAAAACCTATAGCAATTATTCGAAAATTCTTCTACTATATTGGAGTGGGAGGAATACTAATCCAAGAGCATGCTGGGTGGGTGCTGCATCAGGAGG
Source organism: Homo sapiens (assembly GCF_000001405.40). NCBI lineage: Eukaryota > Metazoa > Chordata > Mammalia > Primates > Hominidae > Homo > Homo sapiens. Next base: position 73,969,137 of record NC_000013.11, read on the forward strand.
GAAGAATATCCAAGAAATATGAATCCATAATTACTGACGGGCCAGAATACAAAAGCTACCTTTTTGGAGGTTCTAAAGCAGCCAATCCTAGGCAATGACTGGATAATCAAAGTTTATACTGCCTGAAGTGAAGTGAACATGTGACTATATAAAAGTAGAGAAAGGGGTTATAAAGCCCATGGGGCTGGGTGTTATCTACAATCCCCTACCATTTATCCCACATCCAAAAGGACTGCTGGCAAACAGGCCCCAGGTAAGCTTCTAAGTTATTCTCTACTGCCTTCAACAGTGTATACCACTGGGATTTTTTACACTTCTTTCCTTCTTCACTTTAGGACATGCCTACAATGAGCTTACCTTGGAAAGGATAAACTCCTTCTTTAGTGACAGAACTCCTTAACATCCTTCAAGCCCTCATTCAAGTGTGGGTCTGCAAAGATTCCTCTACTTCTGCCATGGTAAAAGAGTCATTTCCTCTTACCATGTTCAGATTTTCCACTAGATTAAGAACTCCTCAGGGATGAGCCCTATATAACACTTACCTCTGTCTCCCCAGTCCCTGGGATACTGCTTGGCACCATGCACAACTACAATAAGTATTCAAGACATACATGGAAGAAGTAGTACTTTCACAGCTCTCACTTAACAATAGGCCAAGGCCATTCTCAAAATCTTCTTCATAGGGCTACCATCAAACCTTCCTCTTAATGCAGTACAGAGAGAGAGAAAATGTTTTATGTTTACCTGTTAGATATATACAAACAAGCCTCTTGACCTACCTATCTTTTGTTCTTAACATAGAGACCTCCTTATAATTTTAGACTTCATCTAACCAAAACCTGACAAATCCCACAGTGCTTAGTTAGGTTCAACAAATGCTTGTTGTTTCACCTCCTCATGCCAGTGGTACAAGCAGAGTTATAGGTCCTTAATTTGATATATAGCTGGTGCAATTTTGTATCAAACTAGGTCAATCCATCTTGCACAGTTCATGCTTTATTTCCAGTGTGGCAGAGTGAGAAAACACAGAGGGTAGAATCTGATAAGATGGAGGATTTAAACCATAGCACCAACACTTCCTCCTTGTGTGACCAATTTCTTATCTCTAAAAATGGAGATACTATAATCTACTTAAGTTTTTTATTTATTATTAACCTAATGACAAGACACATAGCAAGGCACTTTATAAATCATAAAGCATTGTACAAGAACTGGTGCTGGTTTTTTTTTTTTTAATCACAATATGTCTTAGTGCAATGATGGCATACTCCAGTTCAGATGTACTGTCTTGATTACCTCAGATCCGACATAGCTGAGAAAACTGCTCTAAGAGTTCTGACTTCCTGGGATCAGTGTCACAGAGGATCTGAGTGAGCTTCCTCGAGCCATTTTGGGCAGGCTGAAGAAGCTTGTTAGTATCTATATGCTTCCAGGTTGGCGGGGCCAGCTTCTGCCAGTTCTACCATATGCCAACTGGCGACATACAGGAGCATGCTAGTGCTACCAGCTCCACATATACACACCCACTTCCACCCCCAAGAGGTACCAGACTGTCGGACAACTTGGCCGCTAGCCTATGAAAATGTGGAAATGCTGAAGAAACATTAGCCAGCAAAGCACATACTGGCAGCTGAATCAAATGTTTAGGTTCTTCAATGTACCCAAATAAATCGTTTGTGTGTTCTAACAAATGTTTTCTTTGGAAAGCATTTTTCAGTGCAGATGCTTCAAAAGTACCCATTTTTAATGGGTTAAATCAAGGGCTCAAAGCAGCAGAAGGGTGGGGAATGTTTTTAAACAAAATTGCATCAGCTGCAAAGAAAAAAAAATGTTAACATTGACTGAGAGAAGGCATCTTTGAAAAACAGAAAAGTTGTCAGTAGTTTTCAAAGTTAAATTTTTATGGATTTTTAAGTGTTAAAATATTGTAAGCACCCAAAAATGAGAAAGTTACTCGAACCTGGCAAGGGACAAAAAACTGTGCTAATTTTAAAAATACATATTGATAAACATGGTTCCGCCAAAAAAATGCAATCAAACAAGGAGTCAAGAAGTTAGGAATTATAAATTAAACTCTTCTTGCCAGAGACTTTTAATAAGCAATTGCAAACACATTTAAGGATTTTTATAATGAGGATAATGGTTTGGGCGACAATCATAATGCAATCCAAAAACATTAACTTCCTTCACAAAATAGACTACATAACCAAACCCCAGACAGAGCTCCTGACATACTGCCAGCCTCTAATGCAGGCACAGTAATACACTGTAAGAGACAGAACAAATGATCCCTGTTCTTAGGCAACAATGAAATGTATATATAATTTATTTCGGCTATATCACTCTTTTCCAGTTTAAGTCCACCTCCATGACAGTATCTTTTTTAAGACAGGAAAAGGTACTAAACCATCAACTATAAAGTTGATACTATGGAGGCCCCTGATTTTAAAAAAGCATGGTGGGTATTTCTCCTGAGGCTCCAAACAAGGAAACTCCATCTTAATAGTGACTAGTTTCATCACCATCAAGAGACCTTATGTAAAACTACTGACGTCAATGAAAATACTACATTCACAATGGTGATATGAACTATGAATAAACAGAGCTAACAGGCTCGGCACAATGGCTCCTGACTGTAATACTACCACTTTGGGAGGCTAAGGCAGAAGGATCATTTGTGACCAGAAGTTCAAGACCACCCTGGGCAACACAGCAAGACCCCATTTCATTTATCAAGAAAGCTAACAGATTTTTTTAAGTGAATTGATCAGATGACTCATAAGGTAAGGGCTTTAAATAGTATTGTTTTCTACTCACAAATTAACCAGCTGTACAATTACACTCATCAAATCAGACTTTGGGTGCTACCGAATCATTAAGTGTTCATTAAATCAAACCAAATGATATGAAATGATGCTCAGGAAAAGAAATGCCAACCTGTAACAAATGCTAAAGACAACCTTAAAATTCTGAAATGCTTTGAGTAAAGGGAGGAAAAAACATAATATACACGAGTATGTAAAATCACAGCAACATGTTAAAAGATTTAAACCACAGACGAAGAATTTAAAGGCTAACATTATGAGTTTTGATTCAGCAGAATAAAGAAACACTGACAATAACAAACATCAACACCTGAAACTTTCCCCATTATCCTAATACATTTTCACTGTAAGTGTTCCATTAAAGAACGTCTTTAAAACAATCTTCAAAGTTCGACTCCCTATAACTAATTCAATTAATAAAATTATCAATACAATTGAATAATAGTTTATAACAGCGTGGTGGTTCCTCAGGCACATATAGCCCATCTTTAATACATATTATGAATAATTTCCTTATGAGACATCTCAGTAATATTGAGTATAACACCAATTGCATTTAAACATAAATGTCATAAGCTGGATGTGAAGGTTGATTCTGGGTTTCTTATAAACCACAAATTTCAGTTTATTTTTATCATCTAGTATGCCTCAGATGGAATTCACAGTAATCACAGCTACAGTGGAGCAACTTCAAACATAAATGAAACAAATAACCGGCAGATCGATACGAGGTGACAGACTCCTGGCTGAAATCTTGCCCCAGCGTGACCCACTACTGCCCTTCTGCACTCTAAAGACTTAATGAATCACCAGAAGCACACTCAAGGTTGTGTGTGTTTTGCCCGTGTGAGAGCTGGATTTATATCAGTACCAAAAAAGGATCATCCCCTGCCATGAGAAAAATACAATAAAGAACACGTTTCTACAAGGTACTGGGCATGATGGTTTCATGCAGCATATGTATCTATCGTATAAACACTTCATCATTTTAAACTGAAACACCAAGAATGACAGAAATCAGAAAGCCTAATGAGGGGATAATTTTAAATGATAAGCAATTTGTAGTAAGTTGTTTCTATATTGGCAAAAGGAAATGGTGCAACAGCAATATACAAAAAGCAGAAATGTAAAACCCATTTAGCTTTCTGAATATGTTTTGCCCCAGGAAATGCATAAAATAACTTTGTTATTTAACACTGCAGATGCACCTGTGGGCACCAAAGTACTCTTAGTTATTTAAAATAATTACCCTGTGGAGAAATCTTAAGGTCTTTAATAAATAAAAATCTGTGCAATAGGGCTCTTACCAATAAAAAGGAAAGCCACAGTGTGAAACAAAATGCCACCAATCTCCCTTAGCGGTAGCTTCCTGCCATTCTGCTCAAAGGTACAGAAATAGTCTGCATGCCTTTATACTAAGTTCAGTATCTGAGTGGCTCTTTGAAAAGGCATCATTGTCCATACATCACCAAAACAGACAGAGAGGGCAAGGACATTTTGACATACTTGCACAGAATCCAGCCCAGCCCTTTTCCAGAATAAGTCCCATTCCACTCTTCACCTTGAATTACAGCAAAACGGAAGATATAATAACCAATTCTCAAAGTGTAGCTCCCTAGAGAAAATGGATAGGTCTCAACTATAGTATGAAAAGGCAGAAAGAAAGATTAACCAACACAAGACATAGAACATCTGCCCAGCAAGACAAGGTAAAACAAAGTCATAGGGAAAACAGGTAAACATAGCACAGGACAAAAAGGAAGTAAAGAAAGAAGAAATGAAAGAAAGAGAAGGAAGAAAACAAGCATGCAAAGGAGGAAAAAGCACTCACTCCTAACATTTACACAGCTTAAAAGCAGAAGGCTTCATGTTACAGGACTTCCAAAAAGTGATTATCAACGAATGGGAGCTCAAAGATGAAATGATAAGACAACAGAAAGATGTCACCAAGCCAATAAAACATACCGGAGACCAAAAATTTATCAACTCAGTACTCGTAAACACAATAAAAACAGCATGGAAAGGAAGAGACATGACTAAAAATAAAGGAATATGACTAAAAATTGAATTAATAATGTAGAAGAAAGGCTTAATTCCAAAGAATACAGAGGAGGAAGACAAATATTCTTTTTTAATGGAGAAAAGATAAGAGGCACAAAGAACAAAGAGAGCCTGAAAATTGCTGATCCTGAAGAACCCAAAAATTGGATAGAAAAATATTTCAAGTAAAAATAGTATAAACTTTCCCTAACACGAAGAACAGATTGAAATAACAGACAGTGTTCCAGGAAAAATTGTTACAGAATGATCCAAAAAAAGTTATATCCTTAAGTCACTGAACTTCAAGACAAAAAAAAAAGAATTCTGCAGGTGTTCAGGCAGAAAAGAGCAATTCACTTATGTGGGGGAACAAAGAAGTCAAACTGGTCTCACCCTTCCATTAGGAACACTCAATGCCAGAAGACAAAGGAGCATCGTCTACAGATTTCTAAGTGCAACTCAAGAATTTCACAAGGCCAAATACCTTTTGACTATAAAAGAAAATATATTTAAAGATGCAAGAAGTCAGGAAATGCAGCATCCACAAGACCTTCATAAAATAAACTCTTTAATAATAAAATCCAGTCAAATGAGTCATTAACAGAGACGCTATGGCAAAAGGATTACTTTGACACTAAAATTCTGAGAAAAAGTGTGATCCGATTACTTTATTAAGTCAATTGGAACTTAGAGTAGAAAAGTAGCTGTTTAATATACTCAAATATAAAATTTCTCAGGGAAAGAAGAATTTGTGATATTTTCTTAAAATTATTTGACAATGAAACCTAGTTGACAAATAACTGCAAATGAAAAGTGATGATAAAGAACCAGGGATTAACATCAAACAGATTTAAATGCAACACTATTATTTGCTGTTTGTTTAGTAGATAAACTCTTTTTAAGAGCACAGTACAGGTTTCTTAATTTTCCAGAGGATCAGGTAGAAAGTTCTACATTAGCAGTTAGCTCGTAAATTTATTAATCCTCAATAAATCAGTAAAAGGGAATCTTAAAACTCAAGAGCAACTTTTATTGTAGCTTTATCACTGTACGTTCCTATTTTTAAAAACTATTATTCCATTAGTAAAAGATGTATGTTCATCTAAAAATCTAACTAAATATTGAGTATGTAATTCAAAAGTAACTTTTTTTGTTGTGCTTCTGCTTTTTTCAGCTCTTTTCTGCCTATAAGGCCAATCTCTGCTCAGCTCGAGAACACTCGTTCTACTGTATAGAATGAGGTATTGTCCAATTCTATAATTACAAATAAAATCCAGTTAGATCTTTAAACTATATGTGTTGTAATTTTGTTTTGTTACAGGCTTAAAAAGATCTCATTTTCCACACCTGATTTTCTTGGTATAATTTCTTACTTCCTTCTTATGTTCAACCCCGCATACACTCAATAATGAAATCTTCATTTTATCTGCCTCCTAAACATGCTCCAAATCTACTCATTTTTTTCCATGTCTACAGCCAAGCTTAGGCACAGCTAAAGACACCATCACCATCAGCCCCTTAATTCTCTTGTCCTACTTTATTTCTCGATCCAGTGCTTTTTATATGCACTCAGAGTTCCTTAAAATGCAAATCTCATCATCTCCATTTCTTTCCGAAAGCTCCTCACAAACACACCTTCTTAGGTTATAAGTCTCATTATACTTTGGGCTCCTCTTCCCTTCAACAGGTATATTTCTCTGAGCACTTTACTCTCAAATCCAATCAGTCTTTCCTCAGTTCTTCAACTGTGCCGTACCTCCTCCTGGCCTATGTTCTTTCTCCACCACTCCTAACCCTCCTTTGGCTTACCTCTAATCATCTGTAGGTCTGTCTCTTTTAGCTTAAGTTTCCTTTGCACTGAAAAATCTTCACAATAGAACCCCAACCCCAACCAAATTTAGGTTGGGCGATCCCGCTATGTGCAGTCACAGAACCACATACTTCCAATCAAAGCTTTCCCACACTGTATGGAGAAGTGCCTTTCTGCCGGTCTGCATTTACTAGTAAACCCCATGCAGGCACACATTACACCCACCGTATTCATGGTTGGAAGCTCAGAAACTGGCATGTGCCTGGCACATAATAAGTCATTAAAAAAAATGTTGAGGAATTAATGAATGGGCCATGACAGAAAGTGTTTTTGTTTTGGGGTTTTTTTTTTCCCCCCACAGCTGGCCCATACATTATAAACCTTATTTTAATCCTCTCTAAAGCAACAAGTATGAAAGTTGTTCTTCACAGCAACTCTCAATACACTCTTGAAAAATAAATAAGTGAAACAGATACAAAAATGGATTTAGGAGCACGCCCCTCTGGAGCACCTCGAAGTTGACAAATGATCATTCCAAGGAACCGGTTGCTCAAGATAGAAATTGAAGTTTCATCATCCTCACACTCTCTCTTTCAGATCACCCTCAACAACAATCATCAGTATCTCTCAGTTCTACCTCAGAAACATGATGAACTTCCCTTTATCTCTATGTCAGGTGTTAACACTCCAAGCCAAGCCAACACCATCTCATGCTGCCCCACAACAGCCTCCCTACTCCAGTTGTTTGCAATTTTCTAATCCATTTTCTATATAGAAGCCCATGTCATCTTTGCAGAACTCTTGATCATGTAACTCTCCTGCTTATAATTTTTTAACGACTACATTTAGAGTGAAGTGAAATAATATCCTCATCACGCTGAAAGAAACTAAGTAGCTGGAGGATGTATGTTAAAGTCAGACTAACAGGCATTTAGGTAAGATGCATTACAAGGAGGATCACTAAGCAATGAGACAGAGTCAATTTTCTAGGAGTAATTTTAAAAATTCTAAATGAGTACACCTACTTAGCATAGTTCAAAACGTTATGAAGTCAAAATTTTTAGAAACACAAGGAGAAAGTGACAGAACCATCATTAGAATCAGAGATTTCAAACAAATCTCTGATGGGAGACTGGCCAAGCAAAAATCAGTAAGGTCGCAGAAATTTTAAGAAAAGTAAGTGAAAGCTTTATCTATTAGGCAAATATACAAGGATGTATACAATAAGAAGACAACATACTTTTTTTTTTTTTTTTTGAGACAGGATCTTACTCTGTCACCCAGATTGGAGTCCGGTGGCATGATCTCGACTCACTGCAATCTCCGCTTCCCAGGCTGAAGCACCTCAGCCTCCTGAATAGCTGGGACTACAGGCATGAGCCACCAACACCCGGCTAGCTTTTGTATTTTTTTTGTAGAGATGGGGTTTCACCATGTTGACCAAGCTGGCCTCGAACTCCTGAGCTCAAAGTGATCTGCTCACCTCAGCCTCCCAGAGCTGGGATTACAGGGATGAGCCACCGTGCCCAGCTAGATAACATACATTCTTTTCAAACACATACAAAGCATTTACAAAAATTACCCTTGAACTACCCCATATAGCAAAGCCACAAAAAATTAGTATCAAACAGACTACACGCTATAAATATAACACAATGAAATTAGAACTGGTAATTTAGTATAGTGGTTTAACATAGAACTCTCAGAAAAAGTTATAATGAAATATATAAAAATGAATAGGATTGAATGACAATACTTCACAACTCATGGGATTCTAGCAAGTTATTTTGTAATATTGACAAATTAATTCTAATGTTTATGTGGAGAGAGGCTAAAGACCTAGAATAGTTAATATAATATTGAAGAAGAACAATGTTGAAGAAATGACATTACCTGACTCCAGGAATTACTATAAAGCTACAGTAATAATCAGGACAGTCTGGTCTTGGCAAAAGAACAAACAAATAGATTAGTGGAACAGAACAGAGTTCAGAAATAGACCCACATAAATATAGTCAACTAATCTTTAACAAAGGTGCGAAGGCAATAAAATGGAGCAAAGATAGTCTTTCCAACAAATGGTGCTGGAACAACTTGACATCCATGTGCAAAAAACTAAATCTAGCCACAGAGCTTATACCCTTTTATACAAATTAACTCCAAACAGATCACAGACCTAAAAGTAAAATGTAAAACTCTAAAACCCTAGAAAACAACTTTAAGAGAAAATCTAGATGATCCTCAGTTCAAAGATGATTTTTTTAGACACAAAACCAAAGACACAATCCATGAAAGACATAACTGATAAGCTGAACTTCATTAAAATGAAAAATTTTTGCTATGTGAAAGACACTGTCAAGAGAATGAAAAGATAAGTAACAGACTGGGGAAAAATATTTGCAAAAGACACATCTGTAAAGACCGTTATCCAAAATATGCAAAGAACGCAAAGTTCAGAAAAAAAAGAGTGTAAAAAAATGTCCCAAAGACCTTAACAGAGACCTCACTGAAAAAGATATAAAGATGGCAAATAAGCATATGAAAAAAATATTCCACATTATATGATATCAGGGAAATGCAAATTAAAGCAACAACGATACAACACCACGCTCAGAATAACCAAAATCCAGAACACTGACAACTCCAAATGTTGGCGAGCATGTGGAGCAACAAGGACTCTCACTCATTGCTGGTGGGAAAGCAAAATGAAACAGCCACTTTGGAAGACAGTTTGTTAGACTCCTAGTTAGTAAACTAACTCTTACCTTAGGATCCACCAATCATTTCTTTTTTTATTTTTTAACCTCCCAAAGTCCAGGTTCCAGGCTTAATGATCTAGTAATCTTACTCTTTGGTATTTAGCCAAATGAGTTGAAAACTTATATATATCTACACAAAAATATGCATACCGATGTTAATAGCAGTGTTACTTACAGTTGCCAAAAGTAGGGACCAACCAAGGTATCCTTCAGTAGGTGAACAGATAAACTGAGACATCCAGACCATGAAATATTCAGTACTAAAAGGAAATGTGTGCTATCAGTCATGAAAAGACATGAAGGAAACTTACATACATATTGCTAAGTGAAAGAAGCAAATCTGAAAAGGCTACACACTATTATAATTCCAACTATGCAATATCCTTGAAAAGTAAAACTATGAAGACAATAAAACAATCAGTGGTTGCCAAGGGTTGGGGAGACAGAGGGATGAACAGGAAGAGCACTGAGGATTTTCATGGCAGTGAAACTGCTTTGTATGAAACTATATCAGAGGATATGTACCATTGTACATTTGTTAAAACCCGTAGAATATACAACACTCAGAGGAAACACTAATATAAACCAGGAACTTTGGGTGATAATGATACCTCAAGGTAGGTTACTCACTCAACTGTAATAAACGTATCATCCTGGTGGGGTATGTTGATAATGGGAGAGGCTACATGTGTGTCGGAGCAGAGGCAATTATGGGAAATTTCTACTTACTCTGCTCAACTTTGCTATGAACCTAACATTTCTTTTAAAAACAGTCTGCTTTTAAACACACACACACACACACACACACACACACACACACACACACACAAATCATGGAATACAGCTAATGCTGTCTGGAGAGAAATTTTTTAATTAAAGATTAATTTTCTCAGCAACTAAATTTAGAAGACAAAGAATATGAGAATAAACTCAGAAATTTTAAGAAAAAGACAAAGCTAACAAAATAGAGAAGAAAGATACAATGGAAATAAACAAAAGGAAATGCTTTGGAAAGACTATGAAATTGTCAAATCCTTGGTAATATTTACCAAATGAAAAAATAATGTAAAAGCAATCAATCATTATGAAATAAACTAAATAAAGCACAAGGGGAGACATAAGTACAGATACAGCGAGGTTAAACATATAATAGACTACTGTGAACATTTTTGTTATGGGCTGAATTTTGTCCCTTCAGAAATTCATATGTTGAAGTCCTAACCTGTAGAGCCTCAGAATATTGAGACTCTATTTAGAGATAGGGACTTCAGAAGAGGTAATTATGATAAAATAAGGTCATATGGGTAGATCCTACTTCAATGGCTGGTGTTCTTATAAGAAGAGGAGATTAGGACACAAAGACACACAGAAAAAAAAGACCACGTGAAGGCACAGGGTGAAGACAGCCATTTCCAAGCCAGAGAGGGGGCCTCAGAAAAAAATCCACCCTGCTGAGACCTTATCTTGGACTTCTAGCCCTCAGAAATGTGAGAAAATAAATTTCGGTTGTTTAAGTCATGAAATCTGTGGTACTGTGTTATGCAGCCCTAGCAAACTAGTACAATCTTACCCTAATGCATTTGAAAGCTTACAATAAACCAAATACAATTTATCAAATCTGACTCAAGAAGAAACTGAAAACCTGGTCTTATTACCATTAAAAATTGAATTTTAAGTTCAAATTTTACCCACAAAAAGCCACTCATCCCAGATAAATGGGTTCTACCAAATCCTTAAAGAGTAGATAATTGTTTATGCACATTCTTCCAAAAGATAGAAAAAGATTCTAACATAGCTACCAAAACCCAGTCAGAATATTTTTTTAAAAGTTACAGCCAATCTCACTTATGAAAATAGATGCAAATATCCTATATAAAATATTACTAAACATATCCCAGTGGGATATAAAATTATCATGATGAAGTTGAATAGAAAAAGCATTAAACATATTTATAAATTCAACAAAACTAAATATTAAATCAAAATAAAAAGTAAAAATCTACCATCTCAGAGAAAATAATTTCTATACATTTAATCAATCCTGAATATCTACCCCATCATCCCTACCAAAAAAGATGACCATTCAATAGAAAAATGGTCAAAAGACAAAAATGATTCCAAAGAAGCTGAAGTCCAAATAATCAATAAACATATGAACCATTAATAACAAAATGCAATTAAAACTACAGTGAGACACTATTTAACGCACACCAGATTGAAAAATCTTCAAATGTCAGCAGACACCCACAGTTAGTACGGACGTGGTAAAATGGGACTATTAAACAGTACTATTTAGGAACTGTTGCAGGCTGGGCACAGTGGCTCACACCTGTAATTCCAGCACTCTGAGAGGCCAAGACAGGAGGATCACTTGAGGCCAGAAGTTCGAAACCAGCCTGGGCAACGTGGCAAAACCTTGTCTCTATAAAAAATACAAAAATTAGCCGGGCGTGGTGATGCCTGCCTGAAGTCCCAGCTACTTGGGATATGGAGGCAGGAGGATTGCTTGAGCCAGGGCAGTTGAGGCTACAGTGAGCTGTGTTTGTGTCACTGCACTCCAGCCTGGGAGACAAAGACCCTGTCTCAGAAACAAACAAACAAACAAACAAAAAACTATTGCAACTACATGGGAAAACAATTGGACATTATCCAGGAGAGTTGAAAATTTCTCTACAATCCAGCAATTCTACTTCTGGGTATATATTCCAGAGAAAATCTTCTATATTTGTACCAGGACACATTTAAACGACTCTTCATAGCAGGTTTAAGATAGCAAAAAGCTTAAAAGAATAGGAATGTCCATTGCTGAAAAATGGATAAATTATGGTGTAGTCATAAAATAGAATTCTATTCATTTGTGGAAATAAATAATCTTACCTATACGCATCAATGTGAATGAATATCAAAAACAACAATGTCAAGTAAAAAAAGCAGATCATAAAAATATAAACAGTATGGTACTATTCATATGTCTCAAAACAAACAAAAGTAAATGATACATAGTTTGAACATGTACTTATATATGATGAAAAGAAAGGAAATTATAATACAAAATTCAGGATAAATGGTTATGTGTGAGACTGCTACTGTCTGAATGTGTCCCTCCAAAATTCGTGTTGAATCCTAATCTCCACTGCAGTGGTAATAAGAGGCGGTGCCTTTTAGGAGGTGATTTACGAAGCTGCCTTGTCCCTTCTGCCAAGAGAAAATGCAGCTAAGAGTAACCCCTGGCCAGACACTGAATCTGCTGGAGAGTTCATCTCGGACTTCCCAGCTTCCAAACTCTGAGCAATACATTTCTAGTATTTATAAATTACTCAGTCTAAGGTATTTTGTTACAGCAGCCCAGACAGGCTAAGAAAGGGACTAAAAGGGGTCTTGAAAAAAAATACTGGAAACAATCTACTTTTTTAAGTTAGGTTTCTCTGTTATCATGGCTTACAACTTACACAGTCAATACATATATATTCTTTTTTATCTTTCAAATACTTAATAAATTATCTCCCCTGTGCTTTGTTGACTAGAGTGATTAATTCTTTTAATTGGTTAAACAAGAACTTTCAAAGTCTGATTTTGAAAAACATTAACTTCATTGACTAGGATTTGCTTTATTAAGGTGATATGCTCATCACACAACAGAAGCAGTTATTTTATTTTTAAGGCATGAATAGAAACTTAATTTGCAATACAAAAAGCACAAGGAAAAGTGGTTAAGAAAATCCTCAGAACACTCAACAAACTAAAAGAAATGAAGGAGGAGGAGGAGGTTCCATTTTGGGGATTTTCTTGGTCCCATATGCATTGAAAGGTAAATGTACACTTAGGCAAAGACAATTGTCAGAAAGGATATCTTCCATTATTGAAAGGTAAACGTACACTTAGGCAAAGACAACTGTCAGAAAGGATATCTTCCATCATTGAAAGGTAAATGTACACTTAGGCAAAGACAACTGTCAGAAAGGATATCTTCCATTAAAAAATAAAAAAGAAATCTTGTTGCTAGATGCCTTATTATAAAATTGTTGGGTTATCACAAATGTGTAGATTTATAATCATAAATACACTTGGTATAGGAAAAAAACACTCTTCATATTTGTTACTATATTTAGCAATAGCCTAAGCAGTACATTCAGAGCATTTTTACCAAGATATCAGCCTAGCCATGGAGAGTAACTGCTTAGGAAAATCCCTCTCTTGCCATTTTTCTCATAGTTAAGTCCTGTAAACCAGACCCTTTCCCTCATCTACCACATACTGGAAAACTCTATCTTAATAAAAGAAATGTTCAGTATTTCAGGTTTTCTGTCACCCACTTTTCATTTATTTCAGGATTTCATTTTTCTTTCTTCTGTCACATATAATCATACTCTTTAACACTTTTTTTCCAAAAAAAAAAGAAAAAAAAGTAAAATTCATTCTCATTTTTCTCTCATTCTCCTTCTTTTGCTCTTACTCACATTTCATTCATCCTCTTGTTCAAATATTCATTGAAAAGATCTCTATAAGGCAGCTTAATACTTATCCAGTATGAGGCTCGCACCCTGTCCCTGTCTACCATCACTCCTCTCACCAAGGAATCCCTTTATCTTTGTTCCTGGAAGTTCAAGTGTACAGGGTTTCCTAGTCCTGTACTATGGCTCAACCAGAACGCCAGGCAACCAACCCTGGCACAGTCTAAGACTTAACATGCGATTAAAAAGCCACTTGCTTTCCAGCCCTGCTGTACAGAAGCTGCCCTATGCCACCACCTTTCTTGGTGCCAGCATGATTCAACTTAGTGATGTCAGCACGGACCTTTCACTACCCATCCCATTCTTCTCTCCAGTATCAGTGCCTTCTGGTTCGTGAACCTCTGTCTGAATTAACTACATTCCTGCTTATCGGGTGTTCTCCAGCACCGTGTCCTCCCAGTTACTGCCTGCCAATCTTGCCTCTAACTTACTCCCAGCCTTTATATTATTCATTCATATTCTGCATACAAACTATTGCTATCATTCTTGCTCATAACTTTGCTCTAAACTTTACTATCTGGACAAGTCCCTGGTGTCCCAATTATTCACATATTTCCATCATGTACAAAATCAGAATCCTCCTTTTCCTCATATTATGTTTTCTCTTTCCTAAACTCTCAATCACAAATCCCTGAGGCCACAAAGCCCTGGCCCCAGCCTGACTGGTCTATGGCATTATAGACAGGCAGTCAAGATCCCAAATCCAGGGAGCAGAGTGGCCTCAACCACAACAGACAGCAGTAACTGAGTCAAGTACCATATGAAAAAGCAAGAAGAGGCCACAAATAATCTTGCAGGTTCTCAGAGTCGTGCAGAATTCATAAGCAGTGAATCCAGGCAGGTGGTATTCTAGGGCAGATGAGCCTTCCTCATGTGGAGACGTCCATTCATGTGACAGCACTGTCCTCTCCACTACAAGGGTGGGTCCCAGGAGCAGTGCTTCAGACAGAAATGGGAAAATCAAGGAAAGAACAGGAACCAACAGAGGTCTATAATCCTCTATAAGATCCTCGGGTGGGGAGGACAGCAAGCAGGTAGAGCTGCAAGTGAAATGGCAGAGAAGAGGCAAGGAAAGACTTGGTGGTGGATTTGAACTATCTCAACTACATGTCTACATTTTCAGAACTGTCTTCCCTGCAGCATGCCATCATTTTTGGGTTATAAGAGCCACCCTGGCGGGACTCGGGGCAGTAGTGAAGCACCTGCCGCATGCATCTCACACTGGGAAGGTGCAGCTCACACACACTGTCGCCTATGTGCCTGCTCTCCTCGCTGGCACAGGGAAGCGGCTGGTCCACGGGATTGCCTTCATCTGCTTATTTTATTCATAGGCCATGACGCGTCTTGCTCAGGGAAGGGTGCCAGCTTCTCCCACAGTTCCCTGGCCTCTCTGAAGTTAGAGGCTTATGATCAGTGAGGGTCTATGTGGACTGGCATGTGCCCTTGTACATCCAGTGTGGCCTTCCTCTCCTGCGCTCCACTCTCATCCTTCCTTCCCGACTGCTAGCCCTGGTGATTTCAGCTCTGGCGCCAAATATATAGAAGCAACAGCCATATATAATGTGCTTAACTAGTTCCTACCATCATAGGAGGTCAAGTCCTTTTAAGTCCCATATTCGGCACCTTTCCCCTCATTCTGTTTCTCTTTTCACACCCCAACTGATACAGAATTTGGCACCAGAACTAGTTCCAGAAAAACAAAACGTTACGGATTCCTCCAGTTTGAAGATGAACTGTAGCTGATGCTGTTTTCCAGAAATGTTCACTACAGTATCTCCAGTCACATGTGCTCTTCCAGAATGTTTCCACTCTCCCATCAAGGGGTGGGGGATATGTCCCCTCCTTTTGAATTAATGAGCCTGTCTTTATAATCACCTGGATGAACAGAATATGGGGGAAATCACATGGCATCACTTCCAAGGGTGACACAGCTTCTGCCTGGTGTTATCCCCCCACCCACCTTCCCCAGTGCGCAGCTTTACTGTTAAGGAAGCCTTGGCCACATGAAGGCGTTGCAGCCAACAGACTGGCTGAGAGCCAGCACTAACTGGAAAACATGTCGACGAGAGTCTTCATGATTGCAGTCATCCGCCTTTGAACCTCAGCAGCCACTGAGCAGAGCAAGGAGAAGCCGACTCCACCAAGTCCTACCCAAGTAGCCACTTCAAGAGCAAAACACATACTGCTTTTGCTTTAAGCCACTAACCTGGGATGCTCTGTTTTGCAGCAATGGATGATGAAATCGTGGTTGTCACAAGGTGCCCAGATTCCAACTCTCAGTTAAAAAGGACACTCAACTCTCAGTTAAAAAGGAACACCTACCCTTCAATTTGAGTGCACATGATTGAAAACAGGGAAAGGGATTACTCACGGCAGAAGGGTGCAAGGCCGACAACCAGTGATTATCACAGTGTGCAACATTAGAAGGAGGCTTTAAACCAGGCTCAGGGTCCCAAACCCCAGACTCTGTGTAACTACCATCCCCTTTTTACTTACAGTCCTGGCTCTAACGACTCTCCATGTGTTTGCTCTCAATCTTCCAGCTTCTCATTGTCAAGCGGCCTTTCATTTTCCCCTAGATGCCAGCTATTAGCACTCTAAATTAAAGGAGTCATCCCTGAGATGTGAAGCTATTAAAACTGCAAAAGGCCCCTCTCACAGATTTTGCTCCCCTTAGACTCTCTGCTGTGTGAAGACGGATGAAAAGAAAAAGCTATACAGAACTTTTCCTCACTTTGATAACAAAAACAATCAAAAAAATTCCCCCAGAAAAAGTTCTTTGAAATCTAAAGGATCTCACTACCCTGAAAGAGGCAACAGCCCTAGCCTATCTGTTAATTTCAATAGATAGCTGCTGGCTAGGTATTAACTAAACTTTAAATACAGCTCCGGAGCCACAGCTGCAAGAGATACAGGATGTCTTAGTAAGTGTATGGGTTGTAAGTAAGTGCATGCTATCACCTCAAGAGCTTTTAACGAGATAACCAAACATGTTTCCTGAAACTAGATTTCAGTTTTATCAGATACGCTACAAATAACAACATTCAAAAACAAAGGAAAATTTGTTAGGCCAAAAGGTCTGATGAATTCTAAAAGTAGTTCATCTAGCTTTGAAGGCACATAAAACCATAGTATCACCATGTGAAACTGTGGTAAACAATCTACTGTTTGCAAAAAATTAGATATTTATTAGATTTTTTATAATGGGAAATTTTAATATTATCACTTGCTTCATTTAGCTGCAAAAGTGATTTGAATGGACTTTTTTCTTCCAATCACAAGAAGGAAGAAAATTATATTTTGATTGACATAAATCATAATTTGCTTGACTATTAATGGAATTAGCAAAATGAGAATTCTTTCAAAATTCCCAACCACATGTTTATGACAAAGGTAACATGTACCTGCAATCACAGTCACTTACGTTTTTGAAAACCTGTGGCTGGCAGAGTAATGGCCCCCTAAAGATGTCCATGTCCTAATCCCTGAAATCTGTTAGGTTACATGGCAAAGGGGAATGAAAGTCACAGATGGAATTAAAGTTGCTAATCACCTGACCTTAAAATAAGGAGATCATCCTGGATTATCTAGGATAGGCCAAAGTAATCACAATAGTCCTTAAATGTGAAGGAGGGAGGTAGAAGGGGAGAACCAGAGAGATGGCAGTACCAGAAGGACTTGGCCCAAAGCTGCTGGAGTTGAATGGACCAAGGAACCTGAGTAGGCTCTAGAGGCCGGTAAGGAAATGGAATCAGTCCTAGGACCTCCAGAAGGGAATATAATCCTCCCAATACTTTGAGTTTAGCCCAGTGAGACCATTGGACTTCTGACCACCAGAACTGTAAGATAAATTTGTGTTTTTTTTTCAAAACCACTAAGTTTGTGGTAATTTGTTACAGTGGCCATAGAAAACAAATTAAAAGCCTTTAATAAAAATAAATTCACTTTCATATTAAGTGTCTTGCTCTAAAAGCACAAATAGTTGAAGCAGCATGTTAAATATGAATAATCAATTGATTCTTAAATTGGAATTTTGAGAAACTTACACTCCATTAGACTATAAGATACACTGAAAAACTGATTACGTGTAAGACACAAAAAATCACACTTCTTGAGTCAATAATTATTAACATTATTAAATAAAATTCTTTAGAAAAAGTAAGAAATTCTCACCTAACATCAGCTTAAGAGAAGGGAAGAAGCTGCCTTATTAAAATAATATACAACTGTTGATACATAAAACTATATAGATATTATACTTCAATAAATGTTTTTAATAATCAATTACTATGCTGCTTTAACACTATAATGTTCTCAGTAAGTAAAAAAATTTTAACTAAAATGATATTTGAAAGACACTTGTATCATTTTTATGATCACTCTTGAAAATTTCTGGTAAAATATAATAATTACTTTGGTAAGGTACTCTAAATAGCTTAGCTGAAGAACCACTATAATCAAGTGGCCAGAGAATGAAAATGTGTAAACAGGGAAGAGAAAAAGAAGAAGGGAGGGAGGGAGCAGACGTGGGAGAGGGGAGAGGGAGAGGCAGAGAGAAAGTGGGGGGAGAGGAAGTGAGGGGAAGAGAGGAAATTGGAGAGAGGAGAGAAGAAGTGGGAGAGGAGAGAGAAAGTGGGGGGGTAGAGGAAGTGGGAGGAAAGAGGAAGTGAGGGGAAGAGAGGAAATTGGAGAGGGGAGAGAAGAAGTGGGAGAGGAGAGAGAAAGTGGGGGGGTAGATGAAGTGGGAGGAAAGAGGAAGTGGGGGAAGAGGAAAGAGGAACTGCAGGGAGAGGGAGGGTAGAGAGGGAAAGAGTGAGAGTGAGACAAGGAAGGAGAGGAAGGTAGAAAAAGAAATAAGCCTCAACAGATTCTGGCCGAAATGTAAATCTTTGACTTGTGTTTGTCATTTCAAATACTGTCTAAATAAAGATGTCATTTCCAGAGTCTCCCCTCTGCTTCCATGGCACAGCAGTGCCCCTTAGGAGAAGGGCTCCTGTCTTCCTTCATTCTGCCACTTCCAGTAGATCCCCTGGAATCATTGATTATCACACATTTATCTTTAAGAAGAAATTTTTCAGGGCACTTTTGTGCCCAAAGAAAAAATACACCCTTTTGCATTTGCTAAGAATTTTTTCTAAACTAACTTTTCTTGGCTGCTCCCATTTCTTACAGTCAGTGTCATACTGGCAACTCAAGGTCTAGCTCAAATGTCACTTTAAATGTGAAGCCTTCCAGAACCCACATCCCAATTCCCTGGCTCTAATAAATATATTATGGCACCAATCACATACAACTGTAGAAACTTATCTGCCCATCTCTGAGATAATGAAGTCTTCAAGGCAGAGTCTAAATACAATTTGTCTTTCTAGCCCAGTGTCTAACAAATAATAAATGCTAAATATATGTTTGAATTGTAGTGTTTGCAACACCACAGGACAGAAGTTGCCAACATTCTGTAAGTGAACCAATAACATATGCCCCAACTACCACAGCATATCCAATGTTATTTCCTCCAAGAGAATTGGCGATGATTCTATTCTTTATCAACACAGAGTAGAACAATTTGGAAGTCCCCAGTCAGACCCCAACACCAGAAGCTGCCATATAAGAAGAACACCTGGTACCCATCCCAGCATGCTCTTCAGTCAAAGGAAATAAAATATACAAATGCTGGTCTAAGTAGCCAATTTTCCTAAAGCTAAACTGACTATACTGTAAACATGACTAACACAGCTTAAAATGATAAAAACAGCTATTTTAATGAGCACTAGTAACTACCAGGCAATATGCAAATGCTTTAGAATTTTTTTCTCATTTAACCTTCACAATAATTTTATGGAGTAGGAACTATTACTGTTATTGCCATATCACAGACATGGCAACTGAAATATACAAGCAAAGTTGAACACTGGCAGAACCAGGATGGAAACCAGACAATCTGAGTACAAAGTCATTTTTTTAAACACCACAGCAAGTTCAATATTCTCCATGTGCCCCTTAAATCCATTTAAAAGGTTACTTATTCAAAATGGCAATGTAAAGGCATTTTTACAGCCTTCTTTTAAAACCCACTGAAAAAGGGCAAAGCAAATAAAAAAATAAAAAATAAACCCTCCACCTTTAGTGAGAGTTAAAAGTCACAAACTCAAATTCCCAATCAAAGCACATCTGTCAAATACTGTGAAATGTGAGAGGCAACTGGGAGCTGACAAACAGCTCCTCAAACCTCAAACAAAACACAGAATTTCCTAAAAGTAAAAATCACAGTTACACAAGACCTATTCAATGACCCTTTGATTACGATAGACATCAGACTAAGTGAATACAGATCAATTTCTCAGAAAGCAGAGAAAGTGTTGTTGAAAGAACAAACACACAGGCACTGCCTTTTGTGGAGCCTAGCTCCCTCATGAAGGGGTTCATGCGCTCCCTCATGACGTGGCAGAAGGAAGGAAGACAGGAGCCCTTCACTTAAGGGGCACTGCTGTCCAATGGAAGCAGAGCAGACTCTGGAAATGACACCCTTATTTACACAGTATTTGAAATAACAAAATCAAGTCAAAGATTTGCACTCACTAGCTCATACCCAAATCACCAGTGCTCCTGCTGATACTGTGCTCTGGCAAACACTAGCCCCATATAAAGATAAGCGATACTCAGGGAGAGTCCATGAGAACTGCAGGTAAAAGCAGCAAATACCAAAAGCCAGAGAGAAATGTAAGCAAGAGGCCAATGAAGAACAATCACAGGAGAAATAACCCAAGCAAACAGATGAGGAATTTAGACAAATATCTCTTCATAGACTCCAAAAAATTAAAATAATTACACATAAAAGTTTCTTTAAAAAAAAAGTTCAAGGCAGAGGTACAAGTGTAAGTTCAGGAAGTACAAGGGTTCACGTAATACAATAACAGAAAACTAAAAGAAACGAAAATAAGTCGACATAGCTATGAAATATAGCCACCTTGGGAACAAAAAAGTAAATAATTTAACTGAAAATATAGTTTTTTAAAAAGTTCAACTTGAAAGCACACTGAGTGAAATTAAAAAGTTAAAGATGAAGGCCACAGATATGGAAAATCAAGGAGAAACATCACACATATTATCAGGGTTACTAAAGAGAAGAACAAAATAGTGTACTTTAAATAAAATTTTAAAACTTCCTGTCATAAAAACAGACTCTACTTCTCAGAGATTAAGAGCAAGATCCAAGAAAAAATGGAACAGAATGACAAAAAGTAAAACAATTGATGAAGTTCCTGAACTTTCAGGTTTAAAATAAATTGTTCATTAGCATCCTGGACAAAAAAAACAAAACAAGAACAAGTGAAAAGATCAGTTTGCTTCAAACTTCACAGTGACACCAAATGCCAGATGACAGGGAAGCCATGTCTCCATATTTCTGAGGGAAGTAATAATACTACATAGCTTTGATAATTACAATTAAGAATCATAAAATAAATGTGAATAACCTTAATTTTAAAAGAATAGTAAAACAAAAAGAGGAAAAAGGGAGTCAGGAAGAAACTTTGTTAATTTTCCCATCTTTCTAACAAAAAGTCAAAAGATTCTGTTTCAAGTTAAATTCAGTCATTTCAAAAAACAGAATTCAAAGTTTGGGTTTTTTTTAATTAACTGTTAATAATATCATTTTGGTAAAAGGATATTAATATGAAATTAATCTATTAGGCTTAAATTCAATTCTTATTTTTTTCATTCCATCAGAAGCAAACTAAAAAATATTCTTTGTAAGAGATGCAAGGTATAAATATGATCTTATTTTTAAAAAACCGTTTCTAATTATTTGTATGTATGTACACAGAGAAGCTATAAATAATGTTCACCGAATATGAACAGAAGATATGAGGCACGGAGATGATGGGGCTTTGCATGCTTTAATGGTTTTAAAATGAGCAACGCATCATCTTTTCAAATAATGAAGCTATTTCTCTCCTTCAATAATTCCATAATCTTTCCCAAATCTCTGCATATCATTTTGTTCCCATTTCCCAGATAAATAAGATACCCAACACTGAAGTGACTTGACAGTAAAAGGAGTGACCCAATTCAAGACGATATTTTAATAAATACTATGATACACATACTAGTTGGTATCATTATCAAGTCTATTGATGTGGCTCAATAAAAAAAACTTTTAGTACGATTATATATGCCTGGAAATAGGATGAATGTAACACGAACTAAGAAATTCCAAGGCGTGCTCAACATAACACTAATGCAGCCAACCAAGTCTTACGGATAGTAGCCATGCACCAAGTGCATGTTAGAATTAATGACCTTTGAGGGCACTTCGATTTCTGAAAATGTCTGACTTTGTGATGTGAAATCATACAATGTCATGAAGCTCTCTCACACTAAAAAACAAATAATATCAATACCATGCACACTTTTAGAACTTGACAGTTTTAAACCTTTTTCACAAGAATGTCCTTTTTTCACACCCATAGCAACTCTTGAAATAGGCAGGACAGGTGTTATTAGTTCCTCTTTGCAGATGAGAAAGTTAAAATTCACAAAGGAGAGGGCACTGGGGTTCCAGATCAAACAGACAGATAATTGCAGAGCTAAGGCCTGCCTCTTTTTGATTCCACTTTTATTGTCCAGGCAACTACCCTACATACACTTACAGCAGCCAATGCTAACAATCCATTTCATTTACATTAATTGCAGCTTTTGGAGCAGCTATGGCTACTTAGTTCAAAATGGAAGAAAAGCTGGATTGCTGCTATTACAATCCCTCTATCCTGTGCGAAGAAAGAGCCTTGGAACTTGGAAAAGAAATTTAAAGCAACCACAAGCTACACAACCATCACTATGAAATAAACCCTTTTTGTGTGGCATGAAATCGCTCACAGAAAGGCTTGCTCTTGTTCTCTTGATTTCCAAATGCATAAAGTAAAAGTCACCCCACTGCTAATGCTAGGTGGTTAGGCAGCTGTTCATCAGAGGTAGTCGCAAAGCAAAGTTTTAATGTGAACTCTGATAAGCTGGACTAATGTATATGTGGGATGGGTATGTTCTGAACACCTGCTCTAAGCCAGCTGCTGAGAAGCACTGGGTAAACATATTGAAATGGCTGGGGGAAAGAAAAATGAAGCAAAGCAAGGAGCCAGGTCCACAACAAGCCACCATATTCACAGAGAGGACAACTGCTGAAATACGCTGAAGTGTGTATCCACCAGATTTTATGCTGGTATTTGTGAGCAGGAAATAATGGACAACAGGAATCTTTTTAGAATTTATTTGTCGTTTTCTAAAGGCAGATGGTAAAGGGACAAATCCAAGTGCAATGAAGCTGAGTAAAGGAAGTAACTTAATGAAGTAAAGAAAAACTTAATGCAAAAGTTGTGTTTGTTTTTTGTTTGTTTTTGTTTTTGTTTTTAAGGAAAGGGTGGATGAAGACTGCTCCTGAAAGTAAAACTCTCAGTATGGACACAACAGAAATTTTATAAATCCCAAGTAGGCTATTTAAATTTTAGAACCTAAGCAGAAAGGCACAGCATGATATTCTGTGGCTCTTGGCAGGATTTTGTCACCACTGGCAAACTGGAAACGTACAAAACAGTTGTAAAAGCCATATTCAAATCCCTTTTCAACTATGGCAATGCAGCTTCCACTGCTGACATTTTAAAAACTTCGTCTTAATATTGACTTTGTCAATGTATTTGAAATGTAAAAAAAGATAAATTTTCAAACTCTGCAATTTTCTCCCTGAATCAGACTTTGTTAAAACTAACAGCATCTGATTCAAGCAGACTTAAAAACAAGCATCAATGTATTCTCTGTTCAAACGCATCTACAATGGATAAAATGTATGAAAAATCATTTTTTAAACACACAGCAGTGAGGCTGGGCACAGTCACTCACGCCTGTAATCCCAACACATTGGGAGGCCAAGGTGGGAGGATCACTTGAGGTCAGATGTTCAAGACCAGCCTGGCCAACGCGGTGAAACCCTGTCTCTACTAAAAATACAAAAAATTAGCTAGGCAACATGGCACGCACCTGTAATCCCAGCTACTTGGGAAGCTGAGGCAGGAGAATGTTTGAACCCAGAAGGCAGAGGTTGCAGTAAGCCGAGATCGCGCCACTGCATTCCAACCTGGGTGACAGAGCGAGACTCCATCTCAATGGGACAAACACATTAAATTAAATACTCACTGCTCCTTTCTCCTTAAAGACTTTTGAATTCATGAATTATGAGCTATAAGGCACAATTGTTCAGAATGAATCACATAAATTACAGTCAATCATAATATTTTCAGGGTCTGTCCTCAGGGTAACTAGTAACACAATGATTCTTTTTGCCATCATCTTCATTTGTCATAATAAAAATTAGTTACAGAACATGACACTGCCAAAATTTATAAACTTACAAAGCTAACATTGATCTTTTCAAATATAAAAATTTAATGACAACTGAACAAAAACATAAAGAAATACTATCTCAACATCATTTCTAAAGGAAAGGGATAAATACATTTTGCATGATAGGTAAAGAACATTTCCATGTTTACATAGAGAAAAGTAAATTTACTACCTTTGCCACTCTAGTCTTAAGGAATACATAAAATTTTTAACTTTACTGTATAAATGGAATTATCAATGGTATGCTGGAGCTAGCTCATCCCCTGCTCATGAGAGCCAATTGTTGAATTTTAAGGAATCTTGCAAGCCAGGTGGTAAAGCCTTGAAACCATCCATAATGGGAATAATTACACCACAGGAATTGACAAACACTACAATCAGGCCTCTCCTCTCCCCTCCTTCTCCCAGAGAACCACTTTACTAACACACCACTGATCCACATGCAAATAAGTCCACAGTACAGTTAATCCTCACTAAGTGAATGCACCCACACAGGCAACACTGAGGTCATGAAAAAGAACATTACTGATACCTGCAGAAGTCTCCCTTGAACAATATCTGAATCAATATGCCTCCACAGGTCTAAACACTTTACAAATACTAGAAAGGAGCAATTTTAGCAATGAGGATGGAAGAAGGCAATTTAAGTGAAAGATACAACCTTGAAAATCACTTGTAAGTAGCTGTGAAGGTAGGCTGGCAGAAAAAGACATAGCAAGTTGTGCATTGATTTGGAAGCAGCAAGAGTAATATGGGAAGGAAAATATGAAATTGTATTGCTGAGCAGCTACATGAGGAATTATGAGGCACATGCTTCTGTATGAGACCTGTTCAGTGTAAAACCCTACTTACGAAATAGAGATGGTTTAACATATTGTAATTCTCTTAGTGTCACCTATGATTTTTACATTGTAACCAGTAGAAACTACAAGAAAATCTCAACTACCACAAATAAGGTAATACCCACCATTTGAGGACTGTTGAAATTCACAGCGCCCCCCCCACCACCACACTTTCATTCATACTGTATTTGTAAGAAACCAAATATTAAAGTTTTCC
Source organism: Homo sapiens (assembly GCF_000001405.40). Classification (NCBI taxonomy): domain Eukaryota; kingdom Metazoa; phylum Chordata; class Mammalia; order Primates; family Hominidae; genus Homo; species Homo sapiens. The sequence goes on from NC_000013.11 coordinate 73,994,530, forward strand.
ATGATGATCCTACTTCTAGGAGAAAAGCAGAGACTTCAGGGGCATAGGACTGCATTTGACAGCAATCATGCACCATATGGCACTGGTATTAGAATTATGTTTGTAGAAAACTGATGTATATTAAAAAAAATCTGGCTTCTTTTTTTGTACCAGTGATCAGTTGCATCAAGCAGTTTTCCATTTTTTAATATTCATCTGAAAGTTGATTCTTAAAATACCAGCTTAAGTTCTGGAAAAGAATTACAGCTAGACTTGCAGGAAAAAAATGAGGAGTTGCTTCCATATAATTTTTTAAGGGGCTAAAAGGAAAAATTACATTTTACAGATAGATATGCACATGTAAGTACTGACCTCTGTCTCGTATTCACACAAGAAGGTACTCTAATGAGAATAAACTGCCCAAAAGTAATGCTCAAAGTAGCAATATTTTCAATGCAATTTTAACATCTGACTAACCAACCTTTATTGTTTTTCTCTTCATATGGATATTCATTCATCCATTTGTTCTTAGAGTCACATTGATCCTGCAAGAAAAACACAAAGACAAATGATGAGAGAAAGTTCTACAACTTGATGTTATTGCTCCTTTGGGGAAAAAAATACATCTTAATTCTACAGTTCCTTAAGCTCGTGATCATAGAGCTGAGGAATATCTTTTCTTCAGCTATGTGTTGTTGGCTTGCTCTTCAGCAGCCATCAAAGGGCAAAATGCAGTAGAGGGAAAAACACCAGCTATGACACTAGGACAAGATCCTGGGCACTAAATAATTAAGACCTAGACAAAAATGAGGGAGGAAGGGAGGAGGAGAATAAAAAGAAAGGGATGCAACAGAGAGAGACAGCTGAGGAGAAAATGGCCAAGTAAAAAAAAGGTTTATAAGTAAATTTCCTGTATAAAAGAGAAGTCCCAAATACTCAAACTGGAACCCTTGGCTTCATTATTCTTAGCAACTGAGAGAATTTAAAGTAATGTCATTTCATTGGGGGAAATGATTGTTTCTTTACAGTTGATACAAATGTGCAAAATAATGAATACAAATAAATTCGGTGGTTCCATGTCAGCCAATACCCAAGTAACTTTAAAAAAATGATCTAAATTAATATATGTCCCTTCTTTTAAAAATTAAATATAAATTAAATATTTATGTGGTTTCTAAAAGGTCCAAAATCTCCAGGACCATTAGGATATCACCAAATCATTAAATATTATTGGGCTGGGGAGTTCTGATTATAATAGACCATTTGCCCTATTTGGATATATCTTACAAGTCTTCCTATGTATTCTCTCTCAGCATTATGTTACTTGCTTCAGAATTTCCATTTCATGAGGCAAATTTTCTTTGGCATTCAGTTGAGCCAGCTTATTAGGCACAGTTGACTTTATTTTTCATTTGGAATTACACTCAAGAGGGGACACACCCTGGAGTTCTCAGCAGCGCCCATTCTGTGCCAATGTCTATGGGCCGTAGCACTGGGCCTGGTTTCCTGTGTATGTTTCCATACATTTGAAAAGAACTCACTCACTCATAAAGGCCTTAAATGAAATGCAGCAGAGTTCACAAGCTCCATAGGCTTGACCAGTGAAGGAAACTGGCCTTTAATTTTATTCCAGTTTTAAATATATATGTCTCTCTTGCTATAACAATGTCTCAAAACATGTCCCCTAATATGCACTACAGCTTTTACCAGGCATGCTACTAAAAAGGGAATCCAACATTTCAATATTATAGTGGCAGACTAAAAACATTCTCTTGAAATTCAGAGTATAATTCCTCTATTTAACATGATTAAACCATAACATGGTATCCTTTGAAATACTTAAAAAGTCACCTAACACACAGTGTTCTCAAAGATGTTTTGTCCTTTCTAGTCTTCAAAATATATCTAATCCAATCGGTTCCAACTTCTTAGCCGAATGTTCAATCAAGGTACATCAAAACCTGGCTCATTATTTTTCACAGGGTAGTTCTATAATTTTTTTCATTTAATGTGCCATAGGCATGTTCTCATATAAACTTAATAATGCTTAATCCAAAAATTCATAATACTCCACTGAGGGAATATATCATTATTTACTTCTTAACTTTTGCCTTATAATTTGTGACTTTTATTACGAATCACACATAAACACCCTTCCGTGTAAATCTGGTGTGCACCAGAGTCTCTGCTGGTCTGAATGATGCCTTTAAGCAAATGGAAAGGATGCCTCCTCTGGACAGACACAAAGAGCCTCCAATCAGGAAGAAGGCAAGGCCTGCAAGCAGAGCCCACCGCAAACTACAACCACCACTCCCCCAGGTAACCTCATCCTACACTACCGCACTTAGCTGTACCAATTTATATTCCCACTAGGAGAAGACATAAGGATGAAACTGATCAGAGGTAAATTTTATAACCAAGGAAAAAGTCAGATAATGTCAAGGTTCTTACAAACCCCTGTCTTAGTCCCAAATCTTATGGCATGGCTCTTCGTGGTTTGTCATACCATCTACATTTGCAACCTTCTACAATTTAAATTTATATTTCTGTAGTTTTTAAAGCATGGGACGGCCTGATACAAAACTAGTTTTTGCTTTCCATCCAATTCAGGCTCCCAAGAGAGTGTTCAAGATTCATCTCTTGCCTTTCAGCCCCTCATACTTTAAGTAGCACAAATGAAGGTAACAGATGAGGACACAGATTAGAGTTGAGAAGACCTGTCTGTCCCTAGTCTCACCTCTATTATCTTCCGGCTGTGTGAACTTAAGCAACTCGTTCAACCTCTTTGATGCCCAGTTTTCTTCTCCAAGAAGCAAGGATAATAATAATAATAATACCTGCTTTATATACTTGCCTACTCTAATTGCAGTAATGTTTATACAGCAATCTGTAAAATGTTAAATGTCATACGTGTAAGAATTACCACTTTTTAATCAACAGCCTAGATATCGAATAGGAAATAAAAAAGATTTCTCTAAATGGAGGCCACATGATAGAACAGATACATCTCTAATTTTATTCATGCTAAGGGGCCTTTAGTTTTTCCCCCCAATCCCTATCAAAAGCAAGCCATGATATAAAATAGGAAAATGGCACATTTCCAATAACAGTTAATAGCTCATCAATTTCCGAATTAAATTTACTTAGCTCTGCCAAATAGGTTTCTGAAATTATCCAGTAAATCTTCCCAAAGCACAGAAGTTTTAAAGGCCAGTGGCCTCATCAAAATGCTCATGACGCATGGTTTTGGTCCTCATTTTCCTGGCTTCAAAAATGTTTCTCAATTGTCATTAGGTGAAGAAAAGCAAAGGATTGGTCGCTTATTTCAATATGAAAAACATGAAAAATAGCAAGGCATAAAATATTACACTTTTGAAAGTATTTTAAGATTACTTTTAAACCAAAATATTGCTGCCTGGAACCATGGGTAAATACTCATGGTTTTAGAGGAGAGACTGGAGAAATTCCAGTTACACCTGTTTCTCTTTAGTAGCTGCAAGCAATAGAGAATGATTTTTAAATTCTTTCCTTTCTCTTTTTCTGTCTTGAAATTTCCACATATGATCACTCAAGTTCCTTTATAACTCAAAGACAGTACACCCTGGACAACAGAAGTGACCCTGGCCATAGTGAAAGTGAATGCTATCCACTTTAACAAATAAGCAGCTACTCTGTCACAATTACCTCAGAGTACAGGCATTATATTATACTACAGTACCAGATTGCTTGCTCTTCATCACATCTTAAATGATCTATTATGTTCTCAGTCTTTAAAGGTTAGTGTTTAATACATTTTAAATGTATTAAAATGGACCCATAAGTATACTTGTTGCTAGATCCTCTGAGAATCCCTTTATGTATCTTTAAATAGAGACAGAGAAACACACTAGACATCTAACTAGCCAGGGATTCCACTCTCTGCTCAAAGGTAATTTAGTTGCTCTGTTTCGAGTGAATTGAATGGTGGTGCTGATATAGTTATCTTATTTGGAATTCTGTCTTCTAGATTCAAGTTTACAAATCACTGCTTCATTAGTTATGATCTTGTGTTTTCCAGCACCGATTTTAAAAATCAACTAATAAAGGTTTACATACATATTCAATTCAGTTACTGTAATTTTTAAAGCCAACTAGGGAAGTTGACAGGCAGGCTTTGTGCATGTCAGTCTGTGATGTTATGTAACAGGTCCAAGTTTGCCTTGCTCTGCGCATCAAGGTTTCTACCACATAAGTTGCTTTTCTTCTACTTAAAGCTATTTCTGTTTCATCTGTCACAGTGAGTTATCTTGGGAACTAAAAATATTTGAAGGTTAATCTAAATATTTCTGGAGATAAATGCAAATCTAAGTGCTACGTTTTCATAGCTATTTTGACTAAAAATGAAAAGTAGCTAAAGACACAAAGAAGAATGCTTGTTGCTAGGTGACAGGTGACACCTACTGTATCTCTTCTGAACTTGTACAGCATGACACATCTTACTACCAAGAAGAGGCACTTGGATTTCCACTGGACACACATAATTCTCTACAGAGAAGCAAACTAGAGTTTTTTAACACAGGACACAGTTAGCAAATCATGGCTATAGGAAAAGAGATGCCTCTCACAATAGGAGAGAATAGTACTTCACTTTCCATTTCAGGTACACATTTTCAAGTAAAGTCCACACATGAAACACATTTAACTTTCACAATTCATGATTAAGCATTAAAAAGTGATAACAGACATCACTTCAATTAGGGTAGGTGGAGTCCATAAAGAAAGCATTATTCTCCTATAAGTATCCAATGCTCACTAAATTTAGTAACACAAGGCCATCATAGTAAAGATCTCATAAGTTAAAAAAAGAAAGCACAAAAAGCTTCTAAGATTTCCTGGACATATTTTATAATTACACACCTACTTTCTAGCATATATCCCTTCCTTCAGACAAAAACCCAGGCATAGGCCGGGCACAGTGGCTCACGCCTGTAATCCTAGTACTTTGGGAGACCCAGGTGGGCAGATCACGAGGTCAGGAGATCAAGACCATCCTGGCTAACATGGTGAAACCCCATCTCTACTAAAAATACAAAAAAAAAAAAATTAGCCAGGCGTGGTGGCGGGCGCCTGTAGTCCCAGCTACTCTGGAGGCTGAGGCAGGAGAATGGTGTGAACCCGTGAGGCACAGCTTGCAGTGAGCCGAGATCGCTCCGCTACACTCCAGCCTGGGCAACAGAGGGAGACTCCATCTCAAAAAAACAAAAACAAAAACAAAAACCCCAGGCACAAAGTTCCACCCTCTCTCCTTTGACTCATCAGGCAATCCAGGTGACAATACGGAAGTTTCAGGAACTCCATCATATCCAGCATGTCAGGATCTCACATGAACGAATGGCATATTCCACTCCATGTGAGAAAGGCTGTGATGCCATCATGGAAAAGATCTAGCTTTGAAAGCCAGAAAGAAGGAACATCAGCCTTAACACTTGGGAGTAATGTGACCTGGGGTAAGTTGTTTCCATTTTACATGCTCCTTTTGCCCCCTTGTTAAACCGGTATCATAAGCCCTCCTCCCCACTTTTTTTAAAGCTAAGAATATTAAAAAAGAGAATGTGTATACCAGAATGTCTGGTATATAACGGGTATTCAAGAAATGTCACTCCTATTTCTACCCCCCTACATTTATAATCAAGTGCCCAAACTCCTTTTCCACTTCAGCTTTCTTGAAAACTAGGAAAAGCTATGTCCGAAACCTGATATAAAGTTATACTTCCTCAATATCACCTTCAACCATACTTGCTTATACGAAGGTCCTGGGATCCACAGAAAATGGAATCTCCACTCTAGGATCTCAGAGTATAGTGTTCATAATTCCTCCATTAAGAAAATTCAAAGATGCAACAGCCAATGGCAATAGGAGAAAGATTTCAGAGGTCAATAATAACCCATATTCAATAAAGATCCCCTTGGAATTCTGTTCGTTGCATAAGTCGACTTAAAATACTTCATTTATAAAACTGTCCCCCATTTCCAGTTTTATGTTTCCTTGAAATTACGCTTCCACCCAAGGATTCTTCACTACTTAAAATAGCAGATACTACTACAGAAAGTAAAATTTAATAATTAAAGTCCCACTTGGAGTAAGGTATGCCCCAAAGCTTGAGCAGTCACTTAAGAACAGAGCTCACTGAATACACAGCCCATTTTCAGAAGGAGAAGGTAAAGCAAAAGCACACTGACATGGAAATTACTCTTTTAATCTGTTTTCAGCTTCCGTTTCATTACACCCCATCATTCTGTGCACCCAGAGAACAAATAAGTCTTTAAAAGAAAGTAACCATAGCAAATGAATTAAGCATTTCTTTTACATATATTGTACTCAATATAATGGTTTGAAAAGTAATTTATGCTATGCTCAGATTCAAATGTAATTGCCATTTTATCAGGACTGCATAGTCAAAAATCTGATTTGTACTGCAAAGGATTGACAAGATGATTAAATTTTGTCTTTGTATGTCTAATTTATGTGATTTAAATTGTAACAAAATATAAACATGTGCCATTTGGACATGCACGTAAGTACCATAAGTACTACCACATGTAGTACTGCATTCTGCCAAAAGTAACTTGGCCACACACACATTTGCATTGCCAGATGAAGAACACTCACATCTTTCTCTTAATCCCATCTATCAGGAGGCATTTTTAACTATCATGCTGAAGATGTTAAAAATCTTTGGGGTTTTGAGAGGCTGGTGGAAGGAAGGGAAGAATAGGGTGCCCATTTACCCAGTAATCTCCAGCACTACTTGTAAAATGTAGCTGCGTGATGTATACATAGAATGCCAAATTAAAAATATTGAAAGCAACTGAAAATAAAATCAAACACATATTTGGTACCAATTACAAATGCATAGTTCACACAGCCTAAGAATTTCTCTACTACTTCACTTCAACAGGTGTTGTTGGAACACAGCTAGGTACAGGACATTATGGGGTAAATAGTTAAAAGTTTTAGATACTAGAGATCTATGACACAATCAAGAAAAAATAAGTTGCTTTGCTCAGTATGCAGTATACATATTTGGCTTTCCTATTAATTGTTGCCTGTATGCTTGGGCTGCCAATGCTAAGCAAGATAAATCCTATTCAAATGCATAGTAAACAGTTTGCTTAGTGAATAAATTTATTTTCTAGCCCATCACAACAATAGTTGATTAAAATATGTTGCTCTTATCCACACTTTTGAATTAATTCATGTGAAATAAAACAAATATTTATTAAATTGTGGTGAAAACATTCCATCAAACTGTGAAACTTGAGTAGAAAAACAAATGGTACATGCTTAATTATGGTTGACATTTAAATGAAATTTGCATTCTCAAAATATTTTGCGATAATTAGAAAATATTAGAAGACAAAGTATTTTAGGAAACTTTATGTTCAATCTCTTTGCACATCTGAGCCAAAGAAACTTTTAACAAAGGTAGATTTTATAATATAATTTGAAAGATCAATCAAAGGACTTAATAGATTTGTTTTACTGACATGTTGACATAGTGGTCCAGAAATGAGACACTTTATTTGATATTTTTAATGATTATCTTACAGGTTGCCGAGTGCCTTACTGAACAATAGCTCTGACTGGCTGAATTCATCAACCCAAGTTTGTGTATTTAGATATCATCTATGTATCTCCGAATCTGCTCCTCAACACACAGCTAGCTGTCATAATACATAATCAACTAGTATTTCTCAACAAGCAAATTAGTAGACTGTCAAAGGGATTGCTTAACCATATGCTTCTCTCATTACTACATAATCCCAGAAAATAAAAGTAACATTTGTTTAGAATGACAAATTATTTTCTTATTTATTTACTTTTTTATCTTTATTTATGTTTTCGAGACAGGGTCTCACTCTGTCATCCAGACTACAGTGCAGTAGCACCATCATGGCTCACTGCAGCCTCGACCACCCCAGACTCAGGTGATCCTCCTGCCTCAGCCTCTTGAGTAGCTGGGACTACAGGCTAGCGCCACCACATTCGGCTAATGTTTTGTAGAGACGGAGTTCTGCCATGTTGCTTAGGCTGGTCTCAAATTCCCAGGCTCAAGCAACATTCTTGTCTCAGGCTCCCAAAGTGCTGGGATTACAGGCATGAGCCACTGTACCTGGTCTGACTCTTACTATAAGAATCAAAAACGACTCCTTTAAAAATGGAAAAATACTAAAATTGAAGAAGGTCAACTCAACCATATTCTAGCAACTGCTGGCAGGTAATAAAAGTCACTGATTTATAATAGTGATGCACATTACATGGCAAACACATTCTGTTATCAATTCACACATGAACTGCCTATATGCAAAGAACTGAGAACATCAACAATAATACTCCATGGAACCTGACACACAGAAGCTCACAGTCAACAAAGGTGGGCTGAATATGGATAAATGACATAATTATAACACTAATATCTACCATCTCTTGAATGTTTTACCATATGGTTAACAATGACTAGGTACTTTTACATATATTATTTAATTGAATTCATGGAAGAACCATAGTTATTCCAGGCAAGTTGAACTGATGTCCACATTTTATAATGAAAGTAAGTGATTAAAGTTAACATTCTGTAATTCAGATTAAGATGCCATCCTTAGTAACACCATAGGGAGCTCTGGTGAAAGAACGGAGTATAGTGGGAAGTGGAAGGAAATCAGTTTAGTTTCACAGAAGTGCTTACACAAAGCTGAGTCTTGAAAAATGGGGAAGACAAGACATTTCAGGGAAAAGAGATGGACTGGGTAGTAGATTTAAGTCTGAATTTGAGAATAATCATACATGTATGTGAAAATATGCATAACTTACAAAGAATATATGTAGAGTGAGTACCCCATGAGTTAACATATTAGTCAGCCCATCCAACTGAAAGAGGGACTCTAATGTGGAAAAGAAGCCTGTTGATATGAAAGGGGGATTCATTTCAAGGAAATAATAAAAGCAATTCTGAAAGTCTAACTTCTGTGTCTCAGGTGTGTATCTGTCTTACAATGCAAAGGGATTTATTAGGCATGCTAAGTCAGGACCACTAAAATATAATTTCAAGAATTTTATGAAAAAATGACTAAGAATTATGTCATGTTCCACACGATTCTTGATATTTCTGACACTGCTGGCCAAAGATCAAATATTGCACAGTATTTATTATTCAAATATGAATCAATGAAAATATGCTTACAGATGGTGTTTCTGCACATGTACACATACACAGCTAAGCTCTACTGAAAATACAGACAGAAGATAAAATCCTGAAGAATAAGTTATGTAAGTTTCACAAATACTCCAAAAAATTAAATAATTTTGAAAAATATTGTAGCAGCCAAGGAATGTCAATGGCATTTTCAAAAGTAATCCCAAAACAAAAACTGCCCCACTGCAGGCTTAAAAACCTATTTGGAGACACACACAAAACTAATACGTTCACAAGTGAAATGACATGATCAAATAATTATTGAGAGTAAGCAGGTTAAGGGCTCACACGTATCCCCCAATAAGAATAGGGAATGTATTTTTATATTTTAATTTAAATATAGTATCATTCAAAAAACACCAGGTTTTTTAAAGAATCCTTTCAGTTCTCTAACTTTATTCCCAAAGGTGGCTAAACACATCTTGTGAGATACAGGAAAGGAAAGCCACTAGCCAACAAACTGAATTAAAATTGTTCAGGGTGGAATGGTATCAAATTCCAGTAGTAAAAGTAGTAGTGGTGACAGCAGTCCTGGCATCAGCAAATATTTAATATGAATTTACTATGTGCTAGCAACTGTTCTAACTACTCTATTGTCTATTAACTTGCATTAATCCTCACAACCTTGTGAAGCGGGTGGAATTATTAGTCTCATTTTACAGATGTGGAAACACAGAGAAGTAACTTGCCTAACAAGCGGCAAAGGCAGAATTTTGAAACCTATAGTTTGGCTCCAGTCTTCATGATTTTAAGTACTGTAACTTAAATGATTCTTATAAATAATCTTGGTATAACTTCATCATGCAATGCACAACAGTGTGGTATCTTTTTTTGTAGAAAATATGCAGAAAGCCAACAGCAACAAGAGAGTTTTGGTGTTTTCCCCTCAAGCAGTTTAAAATAAGATATTTCTAAACTAATGACATAAACTCAGATGCTTTTCCAATGAAGGAAAAGAAAAACATATTCCAAATCTGAGATTATTTGAAATCGTGCCCAATATTACAATAAAGCCAGTATTTTAAGTTTCTCCACTAATTAGAAATTAATCCTTTCCTTAAATCATTTAAGGTTTGGGGGATTTTTCAAAGATTTTAAAATTTGTGTGTAAAGTCTCCTACATGAAACTTAGGATTAATGAATGAAAATTCTCTTTCTCCTTTCCTCACCAATGATATCCAAACCTGTGCACAGACAAAAAAAAAAAAGGGAATTTAACTTTCACTTCACAAATCAACTGCATTCTTTGATAACGTCTTTAAAATAAAAGCCAATTATGAAAATACATTTCAAAAAAGTATTTCTAACCTGTGCTTGAGGCTGTTACCCTAAACAACTATAAATTACATAATTTGAAAAAGTAATTTATGCATAGTTTTGGCAAAATATTTCCCTCAACTCTTAGATTCTTTGCTGATTCTGAAGGTACTGCTATGAACATAATATTAAACAATCTCAATAAGGTAACCAAATAATAAAGAGCCTACATCTCATTTTAAAAGCTAAGCAAATAAACTTCAACGCTGTCAAATAGTTAACTTCCTAAAATGATTGAAATATAGAAAAATAAATATAAAGGAACTATAAAATCTCTATAATCATATGTACTAATTCTCCTTTACATAATTATACATAAATAAATATCCCTGCCTATCAGTGAGGATTCAAAGGTGAAAAAAGACATCGTATAACATATATTTCAAAATTTAAAAAGGCTGGCAGCGGTATGCTGCACTTTGGGGAAGCACCAATAAATCAAATCTGTGAACAGTAGGCACCAGGTGTGTGGTTTGACACAGTTCATCTCTCCATGAAGCCAGGATGGAGGATTAAAATAACTGCATTTCAGTTCAGGAAAAACAAGTAGATGACAACTTACTAGAAATCGGGAATACAGCTATGAAGTATTACACATGACTCTGTTCAACTTTAACATGAAAAGCGCAGCCATACAGCATCTAAATGAATACAAGAGCCACACAAAGGGCATGGCACATACTATTTGGAGATCTTTATAAATGGCAATCTTTGTCCAAAACATACAAATTTCCTTCATCACGGACGGTTGCTGGTTGCTAACCTCTATAATGGTGTTATTGTATTTACCCATAAGCTTCAAATTACAACATGCTTCAGTCTTCAGCTTCATAAGATGCTTTATACTACATACTACTACTTCAAGTATTCTTTTTAAATGCTTTTGATCTGGCTCAGGGTGCTTCCCTTCCTGTCACCACATCTGGGTTCTCATTCTATACTCTCCTCCAGCATAGAAGTCATCTCTCCTGCCTTAAAAATATTCAGATGTTTACTATACAACACTTTAGTTTTGGCTAGTTCTACTGCTTCATGTAGTTGCAGAACAATTTCTGTCATTGCTCAGACATGTAATCACAACCTATTAACTATTTTATCCACTCCCTCTCCGCCATGGTCTCTTTGATCACTGATGTCTATTTGGCATTATAGATAACCTGCACCTGGAAAATTCTCCTCCATATTTCAGTGATTTCTCTGATTCTTACCTCTGTTCTCTCTAACCATTACCATCAGATGTCTTTTGAAGATTCTCTCTCCCTACAGAGGTATCTTCCAAGAGCCTCCCTAACTTTAACACATGCTTTCTCTCTGTGTTTGATCTCCTAAAAGTTAAACTCTTAGTGTCGATTACCACCACCCCAGGTAACTCCCAAAGGAACACCTTTGGGCAAAATTTCCCACTTAAATCTCTACTTTTTGTCCACATATATGTATCAGTGAACAAATCAAAATACATTTATCATCTTATTGTACGTCTGGAATTACGACAGCCATGGAGATTTACAGCCAAGACTGTTCCCCTATACATGATGGCTTACCATCTAGGGAAGGAGACAGCAGCACTTCCAAGAACTCAAAACTGAAGTCACTATTTTTCCCTCAATGAACTGCTTTCCCCTTTCAGTCAGAAGTCATCAGCAACCAGTTGCTTCAACCTTATCTTTGAGTCAATGTTAACACCCTTTTCTACCATTGTATAACAAAAATCCATCCTTCTCTCCAAAGACTCTTTAGATTGACTTTTGCAATTTTCCTTTGCCACCTCATCTCCTTTAGGTCCTCATTTAACAAGTCTGAACGATTGCTCATCTCTAGTCTCTGCTCTTTCCAATGCACATGACAAACATACCTGGCTAATGTTTGAGATATTTCATCACGATAATCCCAGTCTCAAGAATTTACATTATTTTTTTCCAGTACGTCTCAATTTACATTTACTTTCACAGCCCTTCTGAAGAGGAAGGGGTTTCCTCCTCTTCCTCTGGGAGGGGTTCCATCTCTGCCTGCAGCCAAATCTCTCCTGCATTATCATCTCCTCACGTAGACACAAGTACTGAATAAAATCAACACAGCCAACTATTTTTTAATTAACCTTAGAATTTGTAAATAGGACTGCCTTTAAAAATCTACTGTAGGCATCACATTTTGTGGTGAAATACTGAAAGCTTTACCCACTGAAATCAGAAAAAGACAGAAATCAGAAAAAGACAAGGATATTTTTATTTTTTTTTTTTGAGATGGAGTCTCGCTGCCTCCCAGGTTGGAGTGCAGTGGCGCGATCTCGGCTCACTGCAAGCTCCATCCCCCCCGGGTTCACGTCATTCTCCTGCCTCAGTCTCAGCTGGGACCACAGGCGCCCGCCACCACGCCCGGTAATTTTTTTTTTTGTATTTTTAGTAGAGACAGGGTTTCACCGTGTTCGCCAGGATGGTCCCGATCTCCTGACCTCGTGATCCGCCCGCCTCGGCCTCCCAGTGTGCTGGGATTACAGGCGTGAGCCACCGCGGCCGGCCAAGACAAGGGTATTTTTCATTACCCCAATACAGCTAATGTCGGAGGTTCTAGCAAGTACCATAAAGCCTAAAGATATAAAATAAACATTAGTTTAAAACAAAATTGTTATTATTCGTGGAAAACATAATTCTGTAGCAGAAAATATGAAGAATAGTCACAATATTAGAATTAACATGAATTTAGTATCATCACTGATTTTCGTATGCAGACATACACAAATCAATATACCAAAACAAAAAACATTTATACCTGGAAATTTAAAAAACAATGAAATGCTATAAAACAATGAGAACAAACAACTGGTACATGGAAAAAAAAAAACGCAATGTGAAATAAAATTAAACCAGTTACAAAAGTGCACACAATTTGAGTCCATTCAAAAGACTCAAAAACAGTTAACATCAATTGATATGAAATCAAAGTAACAGTTACATTGAGAGAGTGACAATGACCAGCTGGAAAGGGATACAAGGGGCTGACTTTGGGGATGGTAATGTTTTAATATTTTATCTGGGTGGTAGTTACATGGATGTGTTCAATTCTGAACATTTACTGAGGCATATACTTATGATTTATACAATTTTTGCACTTTTTATTTCACTAAAACAAAAACTTTCCTGTAAGATAAATTTTGATCAGACCAATTCCTAATTTTGAGTCATACTGCCCAAATTATAGAGCAATGTCCAGTATATGCATGAGTCACTCCAAAATCAGCTACCACCAAGGACCAATCAATTAATAAGAGAGGGTACATGAGCCACTCTTGTTTGGAGGAGGCCAAGCAACTGGAAACACATCTGGTATTCCATCCATCTCATAAAGTCCTTTACATCAGCAACAGCTTTTAATGCAAACAAGTTATACAATGCATTTTGTTTGGGGTTTCTGTTGTTCTTTGCAATATGATGAATTCTTATGGCTGACGACTAAATATTATTTGATTCGCTAATGAAGATTCACACCAAATTAGATGGAGAAAACAATTTGGTCATTTTTCCTTAATTAAACTGCAATACTACCATTAACTACTGTATGTGCCAATTGGCAAGTCAGTTAAACTTTCTGGTCTCAGCATCCTCATTTATGAAATTAAGGGGTTGAAGATCTTTGAGTCTCCTTTCATTAATAAAGTTGTGGATCCTATAAATCCTATATTTTGTACATGCACAAGTCTGCAAGACAACTGTAATGAGCTGGAATAGATTAATATTGTTAACAGAATTTGAGTTCTGACTCTGCACTGATGAATTCATAAAATTTAACCAATCTTCTCATTCCCAGTAGCTCCCAACCTGCTTCAGGCAGGAATAAAATCGATAACTTATGTCCATTGTAACCAGCACTCCTCTTCTATTTACTACATACCACTCTGAAAGGAGATTCTTAGGAGATACAAATGAGGACCATGGAGTGAAATATTTTCACTATTTCCCAGCTGAGCCTGTGAATGCAACAGTAGCTGAAGGATTCTCCAAAGCTGGCCGAGGATGGATTTGTGGCCTTGAGGAATTCTGAAGGTGAGTAGAGAGGATTTCTTTTCTAAGCACAGTTCAATAAAGCACTGCATTGTAACAGTTTATCTGTGACTGTAAATAATCTGTTTCCCTACTGTTTTATCACAGCCACTTGGAATGCTCAGGAATCTATCTGTCACTATCTTGAAAATTTTAAAGGAGTATATTACTTACAATAGTATTTCAGCAGCACAAATGCAATTCATAAATCAGGTTATGTGTCAGGCAGTGTGGTAAGTACTTTATACACATTATGTTAAGTAATCTTCACGGTAACCTTGTGAAGAAAGGATAGTAACCTCCACTTACAAGTGAAGACAGTTCAACAGCTATTCAACCAAACAGCTGGAATTTGAACCCATTTTGTCAGTTCCCAAAGTCCACACTCTTTTCCTCATGCCATTTTGCCTCTCCCTGAAGCTTCTGGTCTGTGAGCTAGATGGAAGTGCTATGCCGGATTGTTCTGTAGGCAGCAGTCAGAATGGGTTTTAGGGGAACAAGAGAGAAGGAGAGAAACGTGGTAATTTTTGAAGAACTCCAGAAACAGCATACTTCTAAACGGCTTGATTTGCTGGCATGTATGGTCCTATAAGTACAGTCAATAAATGTATATAGTTAAATATGGCCAGATCTCAGAAGTGCTACATGAATTGTCACTGCAGCATTTACTTTGTGGATCCAAGCAAACACAGGAGAGTCTCGTGCTCTCATTCTCAAGTTTTAACCAGGAGCCACTGGCAGACTGACTCTAGCTACCATTTGGGAAGCATTTCTCCACAAGTAGTCTGTGACTGAAGGAGTTTAAATTAAACAAACTATAACGAAGATCTTGTTTGCCAGTGTATTTTACTTTTATTTGCTTTTACTTTTATTTTGAGACAGGGTCTCACTCTATCACCCAGGCTGGAGTACACTGGTGAGATCTCGGCTCACTGCAACCTCCACCTCCTGGGCTCAAGCAAGCCTCCCACTTGAGCCTCCCAAGTAGCTAGGACTACAGGCATGCACCACCACACCTGGCTGATTTTTTGGTAGAGACTGGGTTTTGTCACATGGCCCAGGCTGGTCTCAAACTCCTGACCTCAGGTGATCCACCCTCTTCAACCACCCAAAGCACCAGGATTACAGGCAAGCACCACCACGCCCAGATGTTTTAATGTAGGTTTTCTCAAAGACATTATGCAAGAACACCACCCTACACACATACCCCAAAAGTCCCAGGGGCCTCAGAAGTTACTGGAAAGCAACTCCCCCACCTATTTTGGTAAGACCACGAACAATAATTGCAGAGTTCAGAGGCAATAATGTTTCCTTAAATGACTATTCCCCTCCTGATGCTGGATGAGATGTGGCATGCTACACCCTACATTCAACACCCAGCTTTTCTGTTTCCAAGTTATGGCCTAGCCATAATTTCTCTAAAATCCAGTTTTTTCACATCCACAAATGGCTTAATGCCTACTTTGCATCATTTTGTCATATTTGGAGAATCTAAAACATGTAATTTGTACAAGGCGTTTGTAGTTATTATTTTTTCTTATTTATAAGTACTATTTTGGTTTTTAAAACACAGACCTAATCAATACTACTAGATCTTAGAAGCTGCTCGTGTCTAACAAAATCAAAAAAAGCTGCATGAACCTCTCTGGGTAGTCTATAATCTTAAATTATGCTAATTTAAGAAAGCAGAAATTTAGTTAATAAATACAACCAGATTTCTAGAAACATGCATTAATGTCACAGTCTCCTTTTACAGAGAGGCAATAGAAGACTGGTTCATGGTTTTTCAAAGTAATATCATCCAAGTAAACTAAAACATACAAAGGAACAGATCATTCTGAAAATCCATCATCCAGCATTCCTACTTATGTAGATTTTTTGGCTTTAGGTTTAAAAATTTAATCTATTCCAGAATTAGACTTTGATTTTCAGTAACTTCTACTCTCTCCTTTTTATTGCCTCTTTAATATCAGTGATCTTATTCCCTTAATTATTGGGAAATCTATATCTTGATCCTTCACTATGAACTTTAATCATTCATTCACTGAATCAACAAATACTTAAACTCCTTCCTCCCCTTTCCAATTAAATCTCTAGTGTAGTTAAAAATAAAGGAGGACTCGATTTCAGAAAGCACAAGTCAGAGCAAAAAAAAAAAAAAAAAAGCCATGGAATTATGAATTGGAACAGTATAAAATTTCTGTTCACAGTACTGCAGAGGCAAAATGCTAGAACTGCTAGTGGTGATTTCACTGACCACCAGGCCCATGTGTCCACAGAGCATCTACATGTAGCTAGTGCAATTTAAGTTGTTCTACAAGTGTGCAATACAAAAATAACTTTAAAAAGTTCACTAACCATTTACTAATCATTTTCTATTGATACACATTGAAATGATAATATTTTGGATATACAGTCGGCCCTCTTTCTCTGTGGGTTCTGCATCCATGGATTCAATTAACTGCAGATCAAAAATATTCAAGAAAAAAAGAATTTCCACAAAGATCCAAAAAGCAAAACTCGAATTTGCCGCAGACTAAGTACTACATTAAATCCATGTGAATGAAACAATGTGTGGGCATTGTGTTGTGAATTTTAAGTAATCTAGAGAATGTAAAGTGTATGGGAGGATACACATAGGTTATATACAAACAGTATGCCATTTTATATCAGGGATTTGAGCATCTGTGGATTTTGGCATCAGAAGAGTGTCTTTTCTCCCATGAATACCAAGGGACAAACAGTACTGGGTTAAATAAGTATTAATATATTATTTTAAATTTCAACTATGTCTTTTCACTATGGTGATTAGGAACTCTAAAATTCCTGAAACTGATTCAGTTATGTTTCTATTGAACAGTACTGGTCAAGGTTCCACATTTCAAACCCTTGTATGACACACTGGGAATTTTCCTGGCCTTTAACTGTATTTTATATAGACCTTAAAACATCCACTAAACTCCCCAAAGACATGTTTTCTTGTTTAATCTAGCATTTAATGCATCTGGATGTAAATGTATCACATGTACTGTTAATTTAGCACAATCTTCAGCCCCTTGGAGAGCTATAATTGTGCAGAATGTATTTGATGCTTCTTGGTACCTAATTTTTATCTCACCAGATTATCAACCTTTAGTTCTTAGAAAATTCTACAAAGTGATCCCAAAAGTGCTGGATGTGTCTTCCAAAGCACAGTCATTCGTGCACAGCCATGTCTGAATGGAAGTGTCAAGAGCTTTCCATAATCCTCATAGACTATTAAAACGAAAAGAGTCCCAGAGGACCAGAAATATAACCCAATATCTATTCCTGAGTACACTGTTTCATGTCCTGAAGCAGGGCTGCTTTTTTAAATTGATAAAATAAAATGTCACCTATTTTATATCACATCCCTGCTACATTGCTGATGGGAAATGCATGTGACAATATACATGATTAAAATGAGCACAACTAAGTATATTATGTTACAGTATCATCTGGAAACTCAGGCCAAGCCATCCTCCAAAATTCTTAAATGTCAAACCTCTGACAACATTTTCATTCAGTTGTTATCTTACTGTTGCTTCTAGTTATGTTTTTCCTTAAGCATTCTTCTGAGTAAACAAACTTGCTTAGCAGTTCATAATTTTCATAACAGGTAAAAGTGCTGAAAGAAATCACTGTACACTTAAGCTATTTTGCAGTACTTCAGTTCCTTTACAACTAGCAGTACTTAAAAAACAATCACATATTATATCTAACCACTCATCATTTTTTTCATGGAGTTATACATAAAGACAGTGTTTTCAAATATATGACCTCTACTAACTATCCCTGCCTTACTTCGATAGAGCCCGTTATGGGTGAGCAAATTGCCAAACTGGACCATTTTTCTGAGGAAACATAAGCAGCTAATTCAAATCTGTGACATAGAAAGAATACCCGCCTGGTAAAGAACATGTAGATTTCTTTCTTCTATGTCTGTGGAAGGCCTTTAAGAGTTGGCAGTCTTCAACAGCTGGGTACGAACACAAGAAAGGCCCCTCATGGGAACGGATTCCCTGAACCCCTAACCTTGGGACATCCTGGGGAATGCCAGGCTGTGCCTGAAGTTACCAAAAGGCTAACTGGGCATCTCCCAACTTTATTCCCATCATTCTCCAAGTGTCAGAGAAAATCACTATCTCAGCATACCTATAACAACCCACAGCACTTGAATTTACTTAGGCAGCTACAAGTCTAAATGCTAAAAAGAGCCAGGGTTGAGACCGAGGTGGCTAGCCAGACAGAGTAAGGCTGAAAGTGGCAGGGACAAGAAATGCACTCTCTGGAGAGAACCACTGCTACTCCACTCCTGACAAGTTTGCCCTACAGTTATATTCAAGTGACATGCATAATCTCTGTTTCTAAAATTTGCTAATTTTAAAATATTTCTGTATTAAACTCCTATAGTAACAACAACAACACAAAAACACCATCTACATATCAGCCAGTTCATGATATGTGTTGTACCATTCTTTCCTTCAGATTCAAAATATCTAGGGGGGCAAAGAAATTCTAAACTATAAGGATCCTAGATTTCTCTGGGCCCTTGCAAGGAGGAATATGAACTCACATAAAAAACATGCAGCTTCTACTGAAGCATCTATTTTACTTGTAGGGTTTTTTGATAATTTATATTAAAACGAACAGTATATTATGACTATAGTTCAAAAGTCACATAAAATAAAGCAAAAAGACTCAAATTCACTGCTTGCATTAGGCTACTTTCTTCTTCTTTTCTTTTTTTTTTTTAAGAGATGAGGTCTATGTTGCCCAGGCTAGTCTTGAACTCCTGGGCTCAAGGTATCCTCCCATCTCAGCCTTCAGAGTAGTTGGGACTACAAGCATGTGTCCCCACAGCTGGCCAACAGCAGGCTACTTTCAAACACTCACCTGGAATTATTTTCTATTTCTGAGGAAGAGTTTGAGAAATAGGCTATTGAGCATAACTTGCAGGGGGCAGGAACCTTTTAAACTAACTCTGAAAAAATAACATTTTAAAAGATTCTTCCACAATTTGGAGTTCTTGTCAGCACAAGGCCATTTGGATTGA